>NC_000007.14:149761410-149912925 GCF_000001405.40 Homo sapiens | reverse complement strand
AAGATATTATATTAGAATAAAGTGATCTGAAGAATTTGTGCTTTTGCCAGTGTTTTTAAAAATAACGTCAGTTCTGCTAGGAGGGTAATGATCTCATAGTAAGTTGTTAACACATAAGAATATTAGGGCCAGGCACTGTGGCTCACGCCTGTAACCCAGCACTTTGGGAGGCCGAGGCAGGCAGATCACAAGGTCAGGAGTTCGAGACCAGCCTGGCCAACATGGTGAAACCCCATCTCTACTAAAAATACAAAAATTAGCCGGGTGTGGTGGCAGGCGCCTGTAATTCCAGCTACTGAGGAGGCTGAGGCAGGAGAATCGCTTGAAACAGAAAGGCGGAGGTTGCAGTGAGCCGAGATCGCGCCACTGCACTCTCTAGCCTGCTCGAAAGAGCGAAACTCTGTCTCAAAAAAAAAAAAAATTAATATATCTTCATGTTAGTTTGCCTCGGTCACGAAAATCATTGTTGGCTTAATGTCATTGATACTTAAGGTACCCGTGTGACTTTGACAGAGACCTCCTTCCAAGACTATACTGTCTAAAAGAATGTTGTGACTTAAGAATCTGAACATTCCAGCAGCTGTCGCTGAGTCATATCATCAGTGTTTAGTTGAATTTTAGAGCTGTGAGCCTAACAGTGCTCAAGTCTGTTTTTGTAGTCTGACCTTTTCCTGCTGTGGGCCATAGTTATGATTTCAGGGTACAAAACTTTGGGATGGAAATGAGGCATAGTTGTTGAAGGCCTATCAGGTATCTACTAGATTTACCATTTGTTTCATACATTTCATTCTCACCACTATACAAATTAAACTGTCCATGGTGCACAGTGGGAAGAATGAATGCTATCACTTGGGATACAGAACAAATTGCTTTTTGTTTGTTTTTTTAAACTTTTCAGATTTTTTTTTTTTTTTTCGAGACAGGGTCTCGCTCTGTCACCCGGGCTACAGGGCAGTGGTGCAGTCATAGTTCACTGCAACCTCGAACTCCTGGGCTTAACGGGTCCTCTTGCCTCAGTCTATTATCCCCATTTTACAGTAACTGACATACAGATAGGTAAAGTAACTTGCCCAAAGATACACATTTGTCAAATAGTGGGGCTGGGATTTGAACTCAGTGTGGTGCCAAAGTGCATGATCTTAACCAGTATAGTATACTCAAAATACGAAAATGATATAATAGCCTGAATGAAACTTAGCACCTAATTTTAATAAATGTTAATTTTTACCATATTCGTTTCAGTGTTTTTTTTTTTTCTGAAACCCATTACACATAGGCCACTGCTCCTCTTAAATAGGAGATTGTAGGAGATGATGTCTGTGATTTTTTTTTCTGGTTCCATCAGATTCTTTTTCTGACTTTCAGCATCCCTCTTGCAAATATTGGTCCTTCCGCTAGCAGTTTGACAATGATTACCTTTTTTACAACTGGTGAGAATACATTCAGCAGTTATTTCTGGAGTATTTGCCATGTGCCAGTCACTGTGCCGGGGGTGTAGATATAACCATGAGAAAGGACCCTGTTCTGGGCAGCGTGTGGAACTCATAGTCTAACAGTGTGGGAAGGTGGATTTATTTAAGCATAAGGTGCATCATTTTGTGGGAAGTAGCTGAGGTAGCTTGTTAAAGACACAGATTTGATGATTTTAGTGATTTCTGGTCTGCTTGTTGGATTCCATAGGCATCTTTAGCCTTGGGTTAGTAATTCACTTATTTATATTTATTTTCTGGAATATAATTCCAGAAATATGTTAAAATTGGGAAGGATCTGGAATTCTAAAGGTCAGGCTCTCTATTGCCTCCATCCTGGGTTGGCTCTTGGTTGGCTCTGAATTCTACCTTGTAGGTGGAACCCCGGAGTGGAGTTGTGGTAGGTCCACTTGGCCTTGTACTCTGTTTCCAGCTCTTGAGTTGTGGAGCTGGAGAGGACTTCACCTGGGTCTTGCCTCCAGAAGCTCCTTGTAGGCCTGAGGAGTCTCAGGACTTGGCATTGCCCTGGCTCCTGTGGCACGAAGACCTCAGGTCCTGTGGAAGTTGAGCAGCAATGTGTGATTTGAGGGGAGCTGACTTGTTTTTTTTTTGGTTTCCCCAGACCTTATCCATTCACCGTGTGTTCAAAAATAGTAAAATTAGCATATGGTAAACCATACTTAAAAATTGTAAAATTAATTTATTAGAATTTAGAAATATTACCGGATCAAAAATTTAATATTAAGCATATTGAAATAATTTTTAAAATTGAATGAATAAAGTTAGTTTCAACACTGCTAGTGTTAGCAGTGTTGAAATAATAATAATAAGCATTATTACAGAATGACGGCTTGGTTGTCCAGACGTTACTGTTAATTAGAGTAGTCCTAATAAGAAAGGAAGCGCTGATGAGTCTTCTCGATTTACTTACCGCGTTTCAACTTTATTTCCAGCAGATGGTTCTGAGTGGTGGTTTTTTTCCCACCACCCCCCCTTTTATATTTAGGAGACTAGCAAATGCTTTTGGAACAGATAGTAGTATTTTGGCATTTGTTTTAGTTAAGACTTTTGGAATCTATCATGCAGTGTCTTGACAGAAAATGGGCTCCTTCTGAAATGAGATGATGAAGAGATGCTCTTGTCAGATGATTCTCAGGAGACGGCAGTAGCTGTTTCTTAGACATATGCCATGACATTTTAAGAAAATTATATAATCATTTTCTAACCGCCGCCCCCCACCCCGCAAAGTTCAGGAAGTTTGTATAAAAGTTCTAGGAAGTAAGTACACTTCTTAGAGAGCCAGTGTTGGAATTAGCCTGCATATGTAGATGGGAGTTCTTTTTCTGCAGTTCACTAATGTGGGCAGTTTAATCAACTTCTCAGTGCCTCCCTTTTCTCATTTGCAAAACAGGGATAATTTCTACTTTCTTCACAAGGTTTTTGTAAAGATAGAGTGTAAAGGCACTTTTAAAGTTATTAGGGATGCATAAATGTAATTTATATGTTAGTATATATGTGTTTCTTTTTTTCTACTAGAAACAAGCATAATATTTTAAGTTTTTGCAAAACTGCTTTCTTTGAAGTTAGTGTTTGATTCTCAGTGATCACAAGTTTGTTTTTTTTTTTTAATTTCAAGGAGTATTCTGAGGCTTGCTATTTTAGGACTTGGAGAGCTTATAATAAAAGACATTAATCCAATATAGACGAGAGTATTATTATCTAAACATGTGTTGATGACTTTGTGCTTTTAGGTATACCAAGCTTGGCTACGCAGGCAACACTGAGCCCCAGTTCATTATTCCTTCATGTAAGTAAAGCTCTATCCTTGGGTTTATAAAGGTTTGTGTTTCTCAGAATTGTTCTAAGTGTTCTGATTCTGTTTTTCAAGATATATTAATGTACTTACCATCTTCTTTTAGAAGACCGTTCTGGTTACCCCACAACTTTCTAGTCCTTCTGTTCCATTCTGATAAAGCCCCTTGTCACTGTCGTTGGAATCTCAGCTTGGATAGTCAGCAGGGTCCATTTATTCAATTATAAATGCCTGAACTGCCTAGAAAAAGTATATCTGGTCTTTAAGGTAAATTTGTAATTTTAAGTACATACAGTCTGTTAGCTTAGTAACTTAATGGACTGAATATCTCTTGTACTACACTATTCACTCTATTGAAAGATTCTTTTTTTTTTTTTTGGTGGAAATGATAGGCCTGATGACTGTTTTTATTGTGTTTAGTAGTATTCTGTTTTTGTTTAAGTTTTAATCGGTAGAGAATAACAGAAGTGTCCTTGCAGTTTGGCATGGGGCGTTCTACTCACTCTTTATTTCCTGTAGGAGTCTTCCCGAGGTTAGTCGGTTGTTAAAGGATAGGATTCTTGGCTGGGCGTGGTGGCTCACGCATGTAATCGCAGCACTTTGGGAGGCTGAGGCGGGTGGATCAGCTGAGGTCAGGAGTTCGAGACCAGCCTGACCAACATGTTGGAACCCCGTCTCTATCAAAAATACAAAAATTAGTTGGGTGTGGTGGTGCGTGCCTGTAATCCCAGCTACTCGGGAGGCTGAGGCAGGAGAATCACTTGAAGCTGGGGGGTGGAGGTTGCAGTGAGCCGGGATCGTGCCACTGCACTCCAGCCTGAGTGACAAGAGTGAAACTCCGTCTCAAAAAAAAAAAAAGATAGGATTCCCTGGAACTATCTATATTTCAGGTTATTATTTGGAAACAGTTTTCTAAAGAGTAGGATGTATTAATCAAGAGAAAGTGAAAGTCTGTTCTCTACATGTAGCTCTAATAAGATAAGTTGTGATTTTAGAAATTGTAAGTTTTTAGGGGGCCACGATGTTGTAATAACAGGCTTTGTGAACAGTGGGGAATGTCGACAGGGAAAAAACAGCTGGAGAGAAGGTGCTTGATTAGTGCTTATTCAGGGGAGGGCTAAAGCTGTATTTGGTGAATGTGGGTATTCACATCACTAGAAAGCGGACTCCAGATTCTTTGAGAACATTTAAGTAACCTCATTCCGGTTCCTTGCTTGCTGAAAAACTGGCCATGAATGTGATTTTCTAGATCTAAACGCTCTGCTGCCATGAATGGGTTATCCTGATGACAGGCATGATTGGTCTGCTGTGTCCTCATTTTGAATTCAGAAACGAGTGTCTTAGTGTGCTTGGGCTGCCATAAAAAATACTAAAGACTGGGGAAATTAATGTTATCATAGTCTGGAGGTTGGAAGTCCAAGATCAAGGTGCTGTCAGGGTTGGTTTCCCGTGAGGCCTCTCCCCACGGCCTGCAGAGGGCTGCCTTCTCTCTGTGTCCTCCCATGGTCTCATCTCTGTGTCAGTGTGTGGGGTTGCTGGGGACCTCGCTGGTGTCTCTTTCTCTGCTGATAAGGCCACCACTCTTATTGATGGGGACCCCACATTTACCCCAACCACCTCTCTAAAAGTTTCATCTCCAAATACAGTCACATTGAGGGTTAGGGCTTCTGCGTAGTGAATTCTGTGGGGACATGGTTCAGTCCATGACAATTGGTGTTCTGTAGGATGAATCAGTCTTTTGTGAATTTCATTAATGTGAATGCCCCAGAACCCGATCATTCCATGCTGAGTTGATAAATTGAACTCCCTGACTTTTCAAAGCAGAAAATTAGATTTTAACCTTGTTAAGTGTGACAGCTATAAAAGGCTGACCTTGCACCTTTTGCTTTAATGTGTTGCCATTTAAAGCTGTTGGTAGCATTCAGTTGGCTGCCCCATTTAACCTGTCATCATTAATAGAGACGGGAAGCGAAGACAGTTATTATCAGGATTTCATTCACTGTCAAAAAGCAGGAGAGCTCTCAGACTGCAGCTATCAGAACCTTAGCAGTCGCAGAAGCTAGGAGGATAATACAAATGTCAAAGAGGTGGGAGTAAAAGAACAGTTACATTGTTGGGCTGAGTTTGTTGAGAGAGAGAGAGAGAGAGAGAGAGAGAGAGAGAGAAGAGAAGAGAGGCAAGAGAGGCCCCAGGAGTCAAGGTTAGAAGATGTTCGGGCAGAAGTGAGGATACTGAGATGTGGAAGTGAGGCCCTGGGTCACCGTGGACAGTTGGCCTGCTGCGTGTCTTGGGGCTGGGAGTGGAACCATTTTGTGCAAGTGTGTGGATGTGTGTGCTGAGTGCTGGAGCAAGACTTTCTCTGCGTGGCATGGAGGTGAGGTGCTGTGGGGGTGTGGAGAAGCAGGGGTGCTGTGGGATGGTGGGGAGAGCGCCAGGAGGTGGAGACCTGTGGGGAAGGACTGGGTGGCAAGGGACTTGCAAGTGTCCTCTTAAGGAATTCTGTTTTTATTTTGCATACCAGGAATTTTCAGACTGTTTTTGAGGCTTCTCTCTGGGGCCTGGCCCACTGGACTAGAGAATCCTCAAGCCCCGTCCCTGCCTCCAGGGGCAGCTCTGCTTATGTCTGGTTTGTTGGAGCTTCTGTGCAGAATTTGCTTGGTTGCTTGAAGAAAGTTATTCCCTACTTTTTTTTCTTAAGTCGTTGGAGGATATTGGTGGTCCTGCCGCAGCTTCAGGCGGAGAATGTGTGGTGATCAGAGAATGTGTGGTGTAGAAAGAGGCTAGAGGAGGAGCAGCGAGGGGCTGAGAAAAAGGGCACACATTTTAGACATTCAATATTGGAAGAGTTCAGGTGTGAAGAGGTTTAAGGCCTAGGGAAGAGAGTTAGGCTGCAGCTAGAAAATATAACAGTGGGCTGGGCGCGGTGGCTCACGCCTGTAATCCTAACACTTTGGGAGGCCAAGGTGGGCGAATCACCTGAGGTCAGGGATTTGAGACCAGCCTGGCCAAAATGGCAACACCCCATCTCTACTAAAAATACAAAAATTAACCCGGGATGGTGGCGGGTGCCTGTAATCCCAGCTACTCGGGAGGCTGAGGCAGGAGACTCACTTGAATCCGGGAGGTGGAGGTTGCAGTGAGCCGAAATTGCACCACTGCACTCCAGCCTGGGGGACAGAGTGAGGCTCCATCTAAAAAAAAAAAAAAAAAAAAAAAAAAAAAAAAAAAAAAGAAACAAACCCCACACACAAAAACCCCATGGACTCACCACCAAGAATGAACACGTCATTACTGCATATTTCATCTCTGTATCAGAGTAAATGAATAAATGGCACATTATAGGTTGAGTATCAGCCCTCTCTTCTTTTCCTCTTTTCTTTCCTCTGGTGGATAGTTTCTGGTTGTGTTTCTACTCCATTTTTATCCGTATATTACATGTACAAAGATACATCGTTTTGTGAGTTCAAACATTTCCAATATGGTATCACATCGTAAATAACTTTCTGCCTGGTCTTTAAAAAGAAAAACCCTCAATATTATGTTTTTGTCATGTATCAGTGCTGACACATACAGATCCACATCAGAATTCTAACGCGAATATACAACGATTTTTTTCCTTTTGGGCATTTTTCACTTCTCTGTTATATAAAATGGTGCAGTAAAAATTTCCTTATGCGTATCTGCTAGTTTCCTGAGAGGAAATAATCAGAAATTGTTTTGTCACAGAGCGTACACCCCTTCATCCTTAGGCAACACCTAATTAGGTATTGCCACGTTACTCCTCCAGGAGGCTGTTCTGATGGATATCCCATCAGCAGTGTGTGAGAGTTTCTGTTTCGTAGATCCTTGATAATTGGTATTGTGTGACTCACATTTTGGTCAGTCTAATGAATGTAAAATGATGGCTCATTCAAAAAATTTCTATTTCTCAGATTACTGGTAAGGTTGAGCACCTTTCATTACCTGTTCATATCTTTGCCCATTTTTCTATTGCATTTTTAAGTGGAATTATAGGAACTCTTTGTAGAGGTTAAATATGAATTTTTCGCAGATACTTTTTTATTCTATGACATTTTTAAAAATTATCTTTTATCATCTAGAAATTTAAAATTTTGATATAGTAATACTTTTCAGTCTTTTTCTTTTATAATTTGTTTCTGTTTAAAAAATGCATTTCTACTCCAAAGTCATAAAGACTTTCTATATTTTTTCTAAGAAAATTTTAAGTTAATTTGTGAGTATGGTGTGAAGGAGATAGGTAATTTTGTTTTCCATGCGGAAGGCTAGTTGTCCCAACACTATTTATTAAAGAGTGCATTCCCATTTGGCACACCTCTTTGATCATATGGAGGTACCATTTATGCTTGGGAATGTTTTCGGTGTCTTTTGTTTCTTTGATGTATTTATCTGTGTTCCATACGTTCCATACTCACAGTGTTAAACACTATTACTTTATCATGTTTTAATCTAGTGGGTTCGATTCCTACTCATTTTTTTTCTCAGAATAGCTTTGGCTCTTACTCTTTAGTGTTCATTTTAGAATCAGCTTAAGTTCCATGAAAATTATAATGGGGTTTTGATTATTATTATTATTTTTATTTTTATTTTTATTTTTTTGAGATGGAGTTTCGCTCTTGTTGCCCAGGCTGGAGTGCAATGGCATGATCTCGGCTCATTGCAACCTCCGCCTCCCAGGTTCAAATGATTCTCCTGCCTCAGCCTCCCGAGTAGCTGGAATTACAGGCGCCCACCACCACGTCCAGCTAATTTTTGTATTTTTAGTAGAGACATCCAGCTAATTTTTGTATTTTTAGTAGAGATGGGGTTTCACCATGTTGGCCAGGCTGGTCTGGAACTCCTGACCTCATGATCCTCCTGCCTTGGCCTCCCAAAGTGCTGGAATTACAGGTGTGAGCCACTGTGCCCGCCCTTGATTATTATTTATAGATTAATTGGGAAAAAATTTGACATCAAATTTGACTTTCGTGGATACGAATTGAGTATTCCTATCCTTGAAGATGGTATATGTGTTTTATTGTTTATTCATGTCTCTTGTGTTTTTCAGTAGTGTTCTAATGTTCTAAAGTTTTTTTTGTTGTTGTTGTTGTTTTTTGAGATGGAGTCTTGCTCTGTTGCCCAGGCTGGAGTGCAGTGGCACAGTCTCAGCTCACTGCAACCTCTGCCTCCCGGGTTCAAGCGATTCTCCTGCCCTCAGCCTCCCGAGTAGTTGGGACTACAGGTGCACGCCACCATGCTCAGCTAATTTTTGTATTTTTAGTAGAGACGGGATTTCACTATGTTGGCCAGGCTGGTCTTGAACTCCTGACCTTGTGATTCACCCACCTCAGCTCCCCAGCGTGCTGGGATTACAGGAGTGAGCCACTGCGCCTGGCCTTAAAGTATTCTTTAAAAAGCTCTTACAGGCCAGGCGCAGTGGTTCACACCTGTAATTCCAGCATTTTGGGAGGGCTAAGGTGGGTGGATCACTTGAGGCCACGAGTTAGAGACCAGCCCAACCAACATGGTGAAACCTTGTCTCTACTAAAAAATACAAAAATTAGCCGGATGTGGTGGCTCACACCTGTAATCCCAGCTACTTGGAAGGCTGAGGCATGAGAATTGCTTGAGCCTGGGAGTGGAGGTTGCAGTGAGCTGAGATTGCGTCACCGCACTCCAGCCTGGGCAGCAGAACCAGACGCTGTCTCAAAACAACAACAACAACAACAACAACAACAACAACCAGCAACAACAAACAACAACAACAACAACAACAACAACGCCCTTACACTCGTACACAGAGGGCTGGACACAGTGGCTCACACCTGTAATTGCAGCACTTTGGTAGGCCGAGGTGGGAGGATTGCTTGAGCCCAGGAGTTTGAGACCAGCCTTGGCAACATAGTGAGACCCTGTCTCTACCAGAAATAAAAATAAATTAGCTACGTGTAGTGACACTCACCTGTGGTCCCAGCTACTCGGGAGGCTGAGGTGGGATGATTGCTTGAGCCCAGGAGATCGAGGCTGGAGTGAGTTGTGATTGCGCCACTACACTCCTGCCTGGGTGACATAGTGAGACTTTGTCTCAAAAACAAGCAAAACCCCAAGACAACTCTTCCATAGTTTTTGCTAGCTTTATTTTTAGGTACCTTTAAGTTTTCGTTGCTGTCGTCAAAATATTTAAAAAATTCTATTTTCTAATTCATTATTGCCAGCATATGGGAATGTTACTGAGGTTTGTAAGATTTTTTTTTAATCCGGCAACCTTTATTGACCTCTCTTATTTAACAGTCTGCACATTCTTTAAAGTTTTCTATGCAGACTATTGTATTGCCTTCAAATAGTGGTTATTTTGTCTCTTCCAATTCTAACACTTCGTGTTTCTTTTCTTGGTCTTGCTGTGTTGGCTAGAACTTCTATTAAAATAGTGATCAGAACTGCAGACAGCAGGTGCTTTTTTGACTTTCTGACTTTAAAGAGAATGGGATTTTATTATAGTACTCTACTAGTGATAACTGTAGGTTTTTGTGGAGATGCTTTTTCAGATTAAAACAGTGCTCTTCTATTCCTAGTTTAATCTGAGGGTTTTTTTTAATTAAAAAAATCATGAATGACAGTGAGTATTGACATTTAGTCAAAGCTTTTCTGTTATTGAGATGATCATATGGTTTTGGACATTTGTACTCTTTCTTTCTTTTTTTTTTTTTTTTTGAGACACTGTACTTTAAGGCTGGAGTGTAGTGGCTTGATCATGACTCACTGCAGCCTTGACTTTCCAGGTTCAAGAGATCCTCCCACCTCAGCCTCCCAAGTAGCTGGGACCACACGTGGGAGCCATCATGTCTGGCTAATTTTTAAATTTTTCATAGAGATGGGGTCTCATTATATTGCCTGTCCTGGTCTCGAACTTGTGGGCTCATGCAATCCTCCCACCTTGGTCTCTCAAAGTGTTGAAATTATAGGTGTGAGCCACCCCACCTACTCTTAATAGGAGGAGTTACTTTAATACATTTTCAAATATTGAACAGTTATTTCTTTTCTTTTTTTTCTTCTTGTAGAGATGGGGGTCTCTCTTGTTGCCCAGGCTGGTCTCAAACTCCTGGCCTCAAGTGATCCTCCTGCCTCAGCCTCCCAGAGCACTGGGATTACAGGAATGAGCCACCTTGTCCAGCTTGAACAATTATTTCATTTTTGGGATAAATCCTACTTGGCTATGAAATATGAAGTACATGCTGAACTGTAATTGCAAATATTTACTTGAGAACTTTGCATCAATATTCAAAAGTGAGATTGGACTGTAATTTTGATTTCTTGTTTTTGTCTGGTTGTGTATCAGGATTATATGGGCTTCATAAAATGAGTTTGTTAGCTTTCTTTTTTTATTCTCTGGAACAGTTTGCATAAGATAGGAATTGTTTATTCCTTCAAGCTTTAGTAAAAATATCTAACAGTCTTTTGAGAAATATACTGGATTAAAAAAATTACTATTGTTGTGTCTCTCAACTGTTGTAGCAAATGTTCTAAAGTATCTGTGTCTTAAGTCCTTAGATACACTCTTCTTGATAACCTTCCTTAGATTGCCCTCAGATGACTTTTTTGGCATTTAGGAAAGTAGTCATGTCTTTTCTGGTTACCCACATCCTATAATCCTATACCCAAACACATTTTTTTTCAACTGCAGAGCTTGTTGGAAAAAAGAATTGTTCTTTTTTTTTTTTTTTTTTTTTTTTTTTTTTGAGACAGAGTCTTGCTCTGTCGCCCAGGCTGGAGTACAGTGGCACGATCTTGGCTCACTGCAACCTTCACCTCCTGGGTTCAAGCAATTCTGCCTCAGCCTCCCAAGTAGCTGGGATTACCGACATGTGCCACCATGCCTGGCTGATTTTTGTAATTTTAATAGAGACAGGGTTTCACTGTGTTGCCCAGTCTAGTCTTGAACTCCTGGCCTCAAGCTATCCACCTGCCTCAGTCTGTCAAAGTGATTACAGGCGTGAGCCACTGTGCCGGCCCATTGTTCTTTATTATTAAGTTTAATCTTATTAGTTTTGATTCATCATTATAGCTGAAGTGTTTTATTTTCTAGTTTAAGTCATTTATAAACTCTGTATTTAAAATATTTTATTTTGAAATAATTATAGATTAATAGGAAGTTGCAAAGATAGTTTAGAGAGATCCTGTGTACACTTTTCCTATTTTGCCCCCAAAGGTTACATCTTACAAATTGTAGTGCAATGTTATAACCAGAAGTGAGACCCTGTCTCTAAAAAATAAAAACAAAAACAGACCAGCCCCAGGAAACGGATGTTGGTACAATGTGTGTGTATAGTTCTATGTCATTGTAATTCTACCTGTAGATTCCTTGAACTACCACTGTAATAAAGTTACAGAATTATTTTCTCACTACCAAGATCTCTCTGGTGCTATTCCTATATAATTACACTTACTCCTCTCCCTCCACTGTTCTTAACCACTACTCTGTTTTCATCTCTATAATTTTATCATCTGCATAATATATGTTCTTCAATAGATTAATATTTAAACTGACGGTGCTACATCATACACTAAATACTACTCAGCAGTAATGCTACTACTCATACAGTGTGTGCCTTTTTTTGAGACAGAATCTCGCTTTGTTGCCCAGGCTGGAGTGCAGTGGTGTGATGTCGGCTTACTGTGACCTCTGCCTTCTGAGTTCAAGCGATTCTCCTGCCTCAGCCTCCTGAGTAGCTGGGATTACAGGTGCCCACCACCACGCCCGGCTAATTTTTGTATTTTTAGTAGAGATGGGTTTTCACCATGTTGGCCAGGCTGGTCTCAAACTCCTCAAGTGATCCACCTGCCTCGGCCTTCCAAAGTGCTGGGATTACAGGTGTGAGCCACTGTGCCTGGCCCCCCATTTCTAATATAATTGTCTTAAATCTTTCCTTGATATACATTGAATCTCATGAGATTCACATCAGTTATAATTTTTGCTTCAACTGCCAGACATAATTTAGAAAACGCAAGAGGAAAAGGAAAATAATTATGATCCATATTTTTGATCTTTCCATTGTTCTTTCTTTTTTCTTGATGTACCCAAATTCCTTCTTTTATCATTTCTTTTCTCTTTAGAGAACTTCCTTTAGCCATTCTTTTTAATATTTATTTATTTATTCTTAATTAAAGAAACATAGGCAGGGCACGGTGGCTTATGCCTGTAATCTCAGCACTTTGGGAGGCAGAGGCAGGCGGGTCATGAGGTCAAGAGATTGAGACCATCCTGGCCAACATGGTGAAACCCTGTCTCTACTAAAAATACAAAAATTAGCTGGGCGTGGTGGCGTGCACCTGTAGTCCCAGCTATTTCGGGAGGCTGAGGCAGGAGAATCGCTTAAACCCGGGAGGTGGAGGTTGCAGTGAGCTGAGATCGCGCCACTGCACTCCAGCCTGGGTGACAGAGCGATACTCCATCTCAAAAACAAACCAAAAAAACAAAAACAAAAACAACAACAACAAAAATAATGGACTGCCTGAACATCCCAAGCCATTCTTTTGAAGTAGGTGTGCTGTTGACAAATTGTGTTAGTTTTATTTCAACGGAAAGTCTTGATTTGCTCTATTCTCAGGGGATATTTTTGCTGAACATAGAATTCTGGATGGACAGTTCTTTCAGCACAAAAATGTTGTGGTACCTTTTTTTTTGGTGTGTGTGTGTCAAGATTTCTGATGAGAAATGTCCTTGGAAGCTGAATTTTTTTTTTTTTTTGGTCTTTAGTTTTTAGAAGTTTGAGTATAATGTGTTTTGGAATGGATTTTTTTTGTTTTGTTTTGTTTCGGGTTAACTTATTTGGGGTTTGTTCAGTATTGAATCTATTAGTTTATTTCTTTTTCTCTTCCCTTTTTTTTTTCTTGCCAAATTTGGCAGTTTTAGCCATTGTTTCTTTGCATACCTTCTGGTCCTGCCTTCTTTCTCTTTTCCTTCTGGGAATTGTAATCCACAAATGCTAAATCTTTTCTTATATATCCCAGATGTCCCTGAGGCTCTGGGCTCTGTTTTTTTTTTTTACTTCTTCCAGTCTATTTTCTGTCTTTTGTTTGGACTGGGTAATGTCTGTTATTCTGTCTTCAAGTTCAGTGTTTCTTTCCTCTGTCCTTTTCTTCTGTTGAGGCCATCTCTTAAGATTTTTATTTCAGTTATTGTGATTTTTAATTCTAGAATTTCCATATGGTTTTGTCTTTATATCTTGTTTCTTTGCTGTGGCTTTGTATTTGCTTGCTGAGACTTCCTTTTATTTTCCATTTGTTTCAAGAGTCAAGAGTATTTGAGATTGCTCATTGAGGCATTTTGTGATGGCTCCTAAAATCCTTGTTTGATAATTATAATGTCTGTGTTATCTCGGTGGCATTGTCTATTCATTGTCTTTTCTCTTTTCAGTTGAGATGTTACTGGTTTTTGCCACGGTGAGAGTTTTAAAGTGGAAACCTAGATACTTTGGGTATTATGTTATGAGGTTCTTATTTTAATTTTGTGTTTTAGCAAGTCTTTTCTGACACTACTCCAGCAGGGGAATGGGGATACCACTTCATTATTGCCAGTGTGGGGGTCAAAGTTGAGGTTCTCCTTTTGGCCTTTGTTGACACTCACTTGGGGAGGAGCTCCATGTTACTGCTGGGCCGGGGTGGAAGTGGGGACTGTGGTATGTTGTGCTGTACTAGAGATAGCTTGGGTGACATAGATTATTTAGACAGATTTCTCCATTGTGTTCATAAGAACTGTTTGGGCCACATCTTGTTCCATAGGTATAGACAAAATATTTGGAATATAAGCTCTATATACTTTTATTCTCTTGTATGGATACAGTTGCTTCCTGTATAGTTGTTAAAAGAAGTATACTTTGTGTGTGTGTGTGATGTGTTTTAATTTATTTTTATTTTTATTCTTTTTGATTATTATTTTTTTTTACACAGAGTCTTGCTCTGTTGCCAGGCTGGAGTGCAGTGGCGTGATCTCGGCTCACTGCAACCTCCACCTCCTGGGTTCAAGCAATTCTCCTGTCTCACTCAGCCTCCTGAGTAGCTGGGACTACAGGTGCGCACCACCATGCCCAGCTAATTTTTGTATTTTTAGTAGAGTTGTGGTTTCATCATGTTGGCCAGGATGGTCTCGATCTCTTGACCTTGTGATCTGCCCACCTCAGCCTCCCACAGTGTTGGGATTACAGGCGTGAGCCACTGCGCCCGGCTATCTTTACAATCTTTTATATTGACTTGACAGTTTAATTCTGGATTCACACACAATTAAGTTTGATCTTGCCTAGAGGATAGTATCTGTCACTTGTGTTGGCACATTGGCAGTGGCCCTTTGGAATACCAGACTTGTACATCAGATGGTTCTGTGTGGTGTCAGTCAGTGTGCCATTGAATGGTGTGGTCAGAGATGGATGTTATCTATTTCTACAGATCACCTCAGTCGTCGTGGCCCACAAGACTTTTCTAGCCCATGTTCAGCCCAAGATCTCCAATGTCCTCTTCACTTCTCATTTCAGCCCGTGTTTCCACTTCACTCGTGCTTTCTTCAGTTCTGCTGAAGTTCTGTCCTTTACTTGTGTGCCACTGTTTATAATTTGATATCTTTGAGACTTTAAATGTGGCAGTGAGTTGCAATGAGAAAAGGAGGTGGGGAAAGTGATTTCTGCCCTGTGTCTTTTTCTTTTCACCTTTTTATCCTGTTACCTCAAGATGCCCTTCTGAGAAAAAGGCTTCAGTTTCACTCTTTTTTATTTTTTTTTTGAGATGGAGTCTCACTTTGTCACCCAGGCTGGAGTGCAGTGGCATGATCTCAGCTCACTGCAACCCCTGCCACCTGAGTTCAAGCAATTCTCCTGCCTCAGCCTCCTGAGTAGCTGGGATTACAGGCATGGGCCACCACGCCCAGCTAATTTTTGTATTTTTTATTTTATTTTAAGAACAGATGGGGTTTCACCATGTTGGCCAGGGTGGTCTTGAATTCTTGACCTCAGGTGATCTGCCCACCTTGGCCTCCCACAGTGCTGGGATTACAGGCGTGAGCCACTGCTCCTGGCCTCAAATTCACTCTTATAGCTGTGTTGTTATTCTTCATTTGTAGTAAATTGGAGGTTCCAGATAATCTACTTTTAGAAATAATTGTATATGTTTACTAATTTGTCTTGGAACAAATTTTAATATAAATTTCTAGCTAGCTTAATAGCTCTCTGTTTGAGAAAATTCTATAGCCTGACTTACCTTGAAAACTTTTCATTTGGAAATGAGGCATTAAAGGTAAATGATTTTGAGAGGTAACAGGTTAAATGCTTTCGCTCACAAACCAAAGATTAGCTTTTACTTTTATTATGTTTGTTTAGCTTCTTTTTAATAGCTGAAAAACCAATATACCCAGTAGAAGCAGCAAAAGTCACCAGTAGCTCTACCATCCATGGTTAACCAGTATTAATCCTTTGTCTGGCCATCTTATTTTTCTGAATTTACATTAAACACACCCGTGCAAACTCTGTCTGAAGTGGAGTCATACTGTGGATATTCTGAAAGGCAACTTAGTAGCTCTTGTTTTTTTTTTTTTTTTTTTTTGGAGACGGTGTCTTGCTCTGTCACCCAGGCTGGAGTGCAGTGGCGCGATCTCAGCTCACTGCAACCTCCACCTCCCAAGTTCAAGTGATTCTCCTGCCTCAGCCTCCCAAGTAGCTGGGATTATAGGTGCCTGCCCCCATGCCTGGCTAATTTTTGTATTTTTAAGGAGAGATGAGGTTTCACCATGTTGGTCAGGCTGGTCTTGAACTCCTGACCTCAGGTGATCTACCCGCCTCGACCTCCTAAAGTGCTGGGATTACAGGCGTGAGCCACCGCGCCCAGCCTTAGCAGCTCTTTCTAAGGATTTGATATAATTTATTTACCTGATCTCTGATTTCAGGTCAGTTAACTTTCCTCCTTCAATTTGTTGCTATTATAATTAGTTCTACAAAGAGTGTTGTTATGTATATACTTTTATTTACTCAATGATTATTTCTTTAGAATGAAATTCTAGAAGTGGAATTGCTGGATAAACATATTATAATATTTTTCTCAGTTCTTCTCTGGAATGGTTGTATCTGGGTACCTGTTCAGTTCCGCCAGTCACAAATTTGGTCTCCAATTTAGTATAGATAATATTGTTTATTGAGTACTATTCTCTACCACAGTCTCTGCTAAACACTTTGTAAACATTGTTCCATTTAATACTCACCACCCTGATAGGTAGTGGTATATGCATTTTGGAGGAGAGAGCACTGAGGGTTAATAATAACTTTCCTCAAGTCAGCTAACTAGTAAGTGCTCAAACCTAGGTTTTCATAACTTCAGAGTCTGTGTGCTCATTCATGTAGTAGCTGTGCAGAAAAATTAACTTGGCTGGACTGTTTGAAGAAATTAGTTCATATCAGAAACTGTTTTTTCTTTGTTTGTTTTGTCTGTGACTGGGTCTTGTTCTGTTACCCAGGCTGGAGTGTGGTGGCGTGATCATGGCTCACTGCAGCCTCAATTTCCCAATCCCCTTGTCTCAGGCTCCCAAGTAGTTGGGACTCCCGGCTAGTTTTTGTGTTTTTTTTTTTTTTTTTTTTTTGTAGAGACAGGTTTTCACCATGTTGCCCAGACTGGTCTCAAACTCCCAGACTTAAGCAATCTGCCTGTCTCGACCACCCAAAGTGCTGGGATTACAGGTGTGAGCCACTGTGCCTGGCCTAGAAACATTATTTACTCTCTCCTGAAATTCAGTCACAAGGATTTTAAAAATTTTTTTAATTAAAAACAGTTTTTAAAAATTTAAACTTTTTTGATATAGGGTCTCACTCTGTTGCTCAGGCTGGAGTGCAGTGGGGCTATCATAGCTCATTGCAGCCTCAACCTCCTGGGCTCAAGTGATCCTTCCAAGTAGCTAGGACTACAGGCATGTGTGCCATTGTGCCTGGCTAATTTTTTAGCTTTTTTAGAGATGGGGTCTTGCTATGTTTCCCAGGCTGTTCTGAAACTCCTGAGCTCAAGCTATCCTCCTGCCTTAGCCTCGTGAGTCTCTGGGATTACATGCATGAGCCATGAGCCACCACAGCTGGCTCTGATTTTATTTTTTTAAATTGACAGATAACATTGTGTGTTTTTATCGTGTATAATATGATGTTTTGAAGTCTATATACATTGTGAATGGTTAAATCTAGCTAATTAACAAATGCATTACCTCATATAGTCATCATTTTTGTGGTGAGAGCACATAACATGTACTCTACATTTTTTAAGAATGCAATATATCGTCATTAACCGTTGTCTCCTCGTTGTATGCTAGATCTCTTGTAATTTATTTCTCCTATCTAACTGTAGTTACGTATTTTTTGACCAACATCTTGTCCTTCCCATCCCCGAACAGCCTCAGCCCCCTGTAACCACCATTCTATAGCCTACCTCTATGAGATCAACTTTTTAAGATCCTGCATATGAATGAGACCATGTGATATTTGTCTTTCTGTGCCTGGCTTATTTTACTTAACATAATGCCCTCGAGGTTCATCCATGTTGTGGGCAGATGGCAGAATTTCCTTTTTTTTTTTAAATGGCTGAATAGTATTCCACTGTTTATAAAGCCACATTTTCTTTATCTGTTCATCCGTTAATGGACACGTAGGTTGATTCCAGATCTTGGTTATTGTGAATAGTGCTACAGTAAACATGGGAGTGCAGATAGCTCTTTAACATACTGATTTCATTTCCTTTGGATATATGCCCAGTAGTGGGATTGTTGGATCGTATGGTAGTTCTATTTTTAATTGTTTGAGGAGCCTCTATACTGTTTTCCATAATGGCTCTACTGATTTGCATTCCCACCTATAGTGTATAAAGGTTCTCTTTTTGTCACACCATCACCAACACTTATTATCTTTTGCTTTTTTGATAATTGCCATTCTCAGTGGGGTGAGGTGATTGATATTGTGGGTTTGATTTGCATTTCCCCGATGATTAGTGATATTGAGCATTTTTTCATATACCTGTTGGCCATTTGTATGTCTTCTTTTGAGAAATGTCCATTCAGGTCTCTTGCTCATTTTTCACTTGGGTTATTTGTTTTTTTTATTGCTGTTTGAGTTCTTTATATATTTTGATTATTAATCTTTTGTCAGGTAGATAGTTTGCAAATAGTTTCTCCCATTCTATAGATTGTCTCTTCACTCTGTTGATTGTTTTCTTTGCTGTGCAGAAGACTTTTAGTTTGATGTAATTCCAGTTATCTATTTTTGTTACCTGTGCTCTTGAGGTCTTGTCCAAAAAAATCCTTGCCCAGACCAATGTCATAAAGCATTTTACCGTTTTCTTCTAATAGTTCCACAGTTTCAGGTCTTACATTGAAGTCTTTAATCCATTTTGAGTTAATTTTTGTATATGGTTGAGAGATAAGCATTCATTTTCATTCTTCTGCATGTGGATATCCAGTTTCCCCAGTAACATTTACACTTTGCCCGTTGTGTAAAATCAGTTGAGTGTAAATACATGGATTCATTTCTGGGCTCTTTGTTCCACTGGTTTATATGTCTGTTTTTATACCAGTACCAAGCTGTTTTGATTACTGTAGCTTTATAGTGTACTTTGAAGTCAGGTAGTGTGATCCCTCCAGCTTTCTTCTTTTTGCTTAAGATTCCCTTGACTGTTTGGGGTCTCTTGTGGTTCCATGTGAACTTAGGATTATTTTTTCTATTTCTGTGAAGGATGCCATTGGTATTTTGATAAGGACTGTACTGACTCTGTACATCACTTTGTGTAGTAAGTCACAAAGATTTTGATTCAGAGAAATTTTATCTAGCACTTACATTTGTATAGCTACAGAGTCGTACTTTCATCAGAAATACATTAAGGACAGTGAGAAGCCATTAGTATATTTATGGAATTAGGTTTATGTTAGAATTATTTAGGTATAGTTTGACCATTTTTCAAACCCACAATAAATATTTTAGTGGAGTAAAATGTTAATTTAACAAATATTTCTCTAATGTCTATTCTGATAG
The DNA here is from genome assembly GCF_000001405.40 of Homo sapiens. Taxonomy (NCBI): domain Eukaryota; kingdom Metazoa; phylum Chordata; class Mammalia; order Primates; family Hominidae; genus Homo; species Homo sapiens. The sequence goes on along the minus strand of NC_000007.14, from coordinate 149,893,612 downwards.
CCAGCGGCCTGCTTAGGTGCAAATCCTGTCTGTGTCTTAGAAGCTGTGTGACCTTGATAGATTGTTAAGCTTCCATTTCTGTGAAATGCAGATAATAGTACCTGTCTCATAAGCTATTGTGAGGATTTAATAAAATAGTGTGCAAAAGGAAACACTTAGCAGAGTGTTCAATAAATGTAAACTTTTATTATTATTATTAGTTATTGACATCTGAGCCTCCCACTGGAGAGACAGTAAAAGATGGATGTTATCTGACATCAAGGAATCTACAGTTTGGTAGACTGATCTTAAACAATTGTAATTCATCCAGAAAAATGCCTTAATGCAGGAATAAAAGGGCCAGTGGAAGCATCAAACACGTGTACAGAACTGCAGGTTGTCAAGGAAGCCCTCAAGTGAGGAGATGGTGTTGATGTCGAGACCTGATGGATGAAAATAGCTCATGGGAGAGCTCGAGAGTGTGAGCAGGAGTTAGAAATTTGAATGGAAAATGGAATCTTTGTGATGCCCTCCACATTTCATTAGCTGTTAAATTCTGGAGTGAAGTTTGATATGATTATTTACTGCTAAGTATATTCCCAAATATTTAAGGTTAAGATCTTATTAAAATAATGAATTATAAAGCCATTAATATTTGGAATTTTTATGTAATAGTTATTTGATTATGGTACTTTTTTTGGCTACAGATATTAACCAATAACATTCTAATTTATCCTTTTAATGGGATAAATTTTAACGGCTTTTTTTCTTCCTGTAACAAGACTAAAAGTACATTTTAAGGCTATGTGATGTAGAGTCTTATTATAGACATTATTTTTCAGTTTACTCTCCTTTTCTGTATTGTACAGAATTTTGTCCCCTTCCATATTGTATTTTAAATTTGGAACCTACTGATGTATAGGCATTTCACTTACTATCTTGAGGGATTTTTCCAGATAAAACTGAGAAATTTTGCAATGGACCTTCTGTCAGTATAAAAGTAGAGCAGCTCATTTCCTTTGTCCCATTCTGAAAATCATACCAGAATAGAATAACCTGTTTCTGTATTATTTTATGTACTCATTGACATTGTCTTTTCTGTGAGCACCCTTCACCCCACATGGAGCCCTAACAATGAAAATTTACTTGTGTGTATATTAGGATATTATCCCTTTTGATCATTTAAATAGATATGGATAGTGATAGAAATCTGTGTGTGTGTGTGTTTTTTTAAGGTATTGCCATCAGAGAGTCAGCAAAGGTAGTTGACCAAGCCCAAAGGAGAGTGTTGAGGGGAGTTGATGACCTTGACTTTTTCATAGGAGATGAAGCCATCGATAAACCTACATATGCTACAAAGGTAAATTTCCGACAGGTGTCTGCTTCTCTAAGTGTAGAGCAGTAGGATGAGTAATGCAAAATGGTCATCTAGAAGTTGTATTTGCGAGTTGTAGAATGTGTTTCTATTCTTATGTTTGAATTCTTATGTTTGAATAGAGGTGGTGGTGATGGTTGGTTTTGAATGGGGGTATTTTTGATTGGAGAATTAAGGGAATTAACAGATCCCTGGAATGCAGAATAGACTCAGGAAACACCAGGTCACACATGAAAGCAAGATCCCCTCCCCTGGAAAATTGTTGACAGGTTGACTAACCTGTCAGATGAGGGAAAATTGCAGATTGGTTAATTAAAAAGAAACACTAACGTTATTTAAGCAGACTTTTTTTTTTTTAAAGCTCCAGATCCAATTGTATGATAATTAGCTGCAGTTTTCTATCGGTTCCTCATTGTATTTTTTGTTGTTTTTTTAGAGATAGGTCTTACTCTGTCATCCAGGCTGGAGTGCTGTGATGCCGTCTTGGCTCACTGCAGCCTCGACCTCCTGAGCTCAAGCAATCCTCTCACCTCAACTTCCCAAGTAGGTGGGACTACAGGCACGCACCACCATGCCTGGCTGATTTTTTAATTTTTTGTAGAGACAGTGTCTTGCTATGTTGCCCAGGCTGGTCTCGAACTCCTGGGCTCGGGTGAGCCTCCTGCCTTGGCCTCCCAAAGCGTTGGATTAGAGGCGTGAGCCACTGTGCCTGGCCTGCCTCCGTGTCATTGTTAAGGTGATTCTTTGTTTGTGGAAATGAGTGGAGGAGAATATGAACAATAATGTAACTTAATCTTTTTTTTCCAAATGCTGTTGTTTCTTTACAAGAATTAACAACAACTGCAATGAGAAGGAGACCTTTATTCTTAATAATACAGTTTCTTCTGTGCCACTGTTAAACTGTTGCTCTTATTGTTGCGAACTGAGGCTTGACAACTCTGGTGTCTCTTCCTCCAGTGGCCGATACGACATGGAATCATTGAAGACTGGGATCTTATGGAAAGGTTCATGGAGCAAGTGGTTTTTAAATATCTTCGAGCTGAACCTGAGGACCATTATTTTTTAATGGTGAGTAACTGGAACTAAGAGGAATATATTCCTGTAAATTCCAAATTGCTTAGATTTTAAACTGAAGATATTCTTTTCTAGGGCGTTTTAAATTTCTTCTAAAGATATGTGCATGAATCAGGCTGCTTTTTTGAAAATAAAGCTCAATAAAAACGTTCAGAACAAAAAGGGGCTTGTTAGCTCACCAAACAGGAAGCCCAAGTGAGGCAGCTCTAGGGCTGTTGTTTTAGCAGCTCAGTGATGGAATTGCACATGCAGCCTAGGGCACTAGCTGGAGCTCTTCTGTTTGTTCCCCCTGGGTCCAGGGTGGCTGCCAAATTCCTAGATCACCTCTTTGGACATTTCTATACAGAGATAGAAGATTTCCCTTGCACTTTTTAAGAATTTAGAGACCCTTTCCCAGAAACCTTCCCAGCACATTTGCCCCATCTGCCTATGCCTAACCTGGTTAGAGCAATAGGAATGGATTTACTGTGACTGGTTTAGATTCTTGAAGACTTTCTCCTTGGTGTGGGGACCAGGAGAACTTGTCTGATGTTCTGGACCCTGGAGGAGGGTAAGTAGCTAAACAGGCCTCCAAAAGCAAGGACAATAGAAGGAGGAATGGATTTGGATAAACCAACTGCCTACTTTAGTTTTCTTGAGACATAGCAAGATGATTGTAATTATTGCCACTTATAGCAGAGGAAACCAGGTCAAGATGTTGTTTTTTTCTAGGGTTTAAATGTTACTGTAAAATAAAACTGAACTGAGTTATGGGCCCTAATTATATACTTAACTGATTTCATTCAAATGAAATGAAACATCACAGATAAATGAGAAGAAATATCTCCTCGTTCTCTAGTGGTTCTACTCAACATTACATGTTTTCTTCCGTGAGATGCTCTTTTCATCAAGTTAAAATTAATTATATGTACAGAATGCTTGCTTTATAGAGGGCAGTTTCATGTGACGTAAGCTGCGTATTAAACCTGCATAATTTAGGTTTGGATTTTTTTTCATGCAAGTACATTGTCAAATGGTCCCAGATCCAATTATAAAATTCTTTCTGATGTTAGGATATGAAGTGTTTTTAAGAATTATCTGGTATAAGAAATATTTGAACTATAAGGCTAATAGTTATTGGAATAACTATTAAATATGGAATAACTCTATAACGAATATATGTATTTAATGTATATTAAAGCCAGTCTTTGATTTTTTTTCCCTGGCTGTGTCTTCACAGCTGAAATTGCCAAGTATGGCCACTGCGTTTCACAGGCCACTCTGTTTTCTCTGTACATCCACAGTGGTTTATTTTATTTTACTGTTTTGCTCTGTATTTTATTTTTCTAGAAATGGGATCTTGCTCTGTTGTCCAGGTTAGAGTTCTGTGGCACAATCCTAGCTCACTGCAGCCTCGGACTCTGGACTCAGTTGATCCTCCCGCTTCAACCTCCTGAGTAGCTCGGACCACAGGTAGAAGCCACTAGCCTGGCTAATTTTTAAAAATTTTTTGTGGAGATGGGGTGGGGTTGCCTCCATTTGCACCCCTACTTACATTTCCCCCATCCTCTCCAGCCTTTTGTGCTGGCAGACATAACTTGCCCATCTGATGAGTATGAAATGTCTCATTGTGACTTTAATGTACATTTCCCTGATTACTAATGGGGCTAAGTATATTTTTCACCTACTGACTGGCCTCTCAAGTTTCCCTCCTTGTGAGTTGCTGGGAATATACATGCCAATTTTTCAACTGTATTTTTTAGATTAATTTGTCAGTGTTGTTTATATAATCTGGATGCCAATCTTTCATAAATATGTACCACAGCGATCTTTTCCCAGCCTGATTTAGAAAATTTTTCCCTTTTCTGATGTCAGGAAGTCATTTTCTTATGATTTACTTTAAACACTTTGACATTTTGCTCTTTGGGGTTAGGTCTTTGACCTTCCTGAAATTTGTTTCTGTGCATGATCTAAGGTAGGGCTGCAGTTCTTCTTTTGTGAAGTAAGAGTTCAAATTTGCCCACTTTTAAAACTTAGGTTTGTCATGTTGTTTAAGTATGAGTTCTTTATATATTCAAGATACAAGTCTTGACAGATATATGCTTTACAAATAGTTTCTTCCAGTTTGTGGTTTGCTTTTCATTTTTTTAACAATGGTTTTTTTTTAATTTCTTTTTATTATTTTTTATTTTTTTTTCAGGTGGAGTTTCACTCTTGTCGCCCAGGCTGGAGTGCAGTGGCGTGATCTCAGCTCACTGCAACCTCCGCCTCCCAGGTTCAAGCGATTCTCCTGCCTCAGCCTCCCAAGTAGCTGGGATTACAGGCGCTCACCACCACGTCCGGCTACTTTTTGTATTTTTAGTAGAGACGGGGTTTCACCACGTTGGCCAGACTGTTCTCGAACTCCTGACCTCAGGTGATCCACCCGCCTTGGCCTCCCAAAGTGCTGGGATTACAGGTGTGAGCCACCACGCCCAGCAACAATGGTTTTGAAGAGCAGAAGGAGAAATGAGGCTGTCTGATCTTGCCCTCTCTCCCCACTTCCTCCTTCCTTCCCTGTTCCTGGCACTAGATTCACTAGGATTAGGGGAACTTGTAGCCAAGAATATATAAAGAACTTCTATAAATCAATAGGGAAAAGACCAAAAAAAGTCATAGAAAAGCAAGCCAATGATTTGAGTAGGCAAATTAGAGAAGTGGAAACCGAAATGTCCAATAAACAGGTGAAGAGTCAAGCTTAGCAGCTATTAGGGAAATGCAAGTTAAAACCAACTACCATCCAGGTGCTGTGGCTCATGCCACAAGGTTGGTTGAGTGTAAATTGAAACAATCATTTTGGAGAGAAATTTGGCAATCTCTTGTAATATTAAAAGCTCTTTGACTCCTAGATATATATCCTAGAGAAGTTCCAGCAAATGTGCACAAAGACATATAAAAGATGCTTACTATTTGTTAATCTGGAAGTAACACAGGGGTCATTAATAGGGGGGTGGACAAAGAAAGTGTATGTCACTAATGAACTAGATCTGTATGTAACAGTATTGTATCAGTCAGGTGTGCCGCAATAATGCTGCATGACAAAACACCCTAAAACTGACTTATAACAACAGGCATTTAATTTTGGCTAGTATGTCTGCATCAGCTGGCCTGTATTAGTCTGTTTTCACACTGGTGATAAAGACACACCTGAAACTGGGGGGAAAAAAAAAGATTTAATTGGTCTTACAGTTCCACAAGGTTGAGGAGGTCTCAGAATCATGGCAGGAGGCAAAAGGCACTTCTTACATGGCAGCGGCAAGAGAAAAATGAAGAAGCAAAAGCAGAAATCCCTGATAAATCCAACAGATCTCTTGAGACGTATTCACTATCACAAGAATAGCATGGGAAAGACCAGCCCCCATGATTCAATTACCTCCCCTGGTCCCTCCCACAACACAGGGGAATTCTGGGAGATACAATTCAAGTTGAGATTTGGGTGGGGGCACAGCCAAATCATATCATGGGGTTTGGCCAGTCTAGCCCAGGATTGGCTCGACTTGGCTCGGGTCATTTTGTGATTAGTGTGCTCCTCACATTTCACCTTTTCTGGGCCCAGTAGGCCATCCAGGACATGTGCAAGCCAGCGACACTATGGGCAGCTCTGGGAGCCAGTTTATATACCAACTCCTGATGGTACGTCCAGCCTGCTGCCCAGGAAGGAAGCCAGTGCTGGCACCTGGAAGGCGCCTGGCGTGTATGGGAGCACCAAGAGCATGGGGAGATGCACTGCAGCAGGCAGCACAGACCTACAGTCTGTTATCACAGTCTCGCTCTCTGTAATAAGCAGGTTAATAAGGTAATAAGGAGGTTACATTGCTGTTTGAATTTGCTTTCCTTGACTAAGCATCTCTTCATGCTCAAAAGTCTTTTACATGTCTTCTTCTGTGAATTCTTTTGTGTCATTTGCTCATTTATCTACTTGTATGGTTTTTGCCTTGAAGAAAATGTAAATTTTAACTTAGTTAAATGTATAAAGTTTTATCTTCATAGCCTCTGGATTTCTTTTTTTCTTTCTTCCCCTGAGATAGACCTTCCCTATTACATGATAATTTTAAAAATTCTCCAATTTTTTTCTAGTACATTTATAGTTTCTTTCCATTTTGTATGTGTTTTGCTGCTGGGACTCTGGACACTGTTCATTGCCCTACTCATCTCTTCCTTATGTATTTGGTTTGCTATGTTTATCATATTCATTTTTTTTTTTTTTTTGAGTCAGTCTCGCTCTGTCGCCCAGGCCAGAATGCAGGAGCACAATCTCTGCTCACTGTAGCCTCAACCTCCTGGGCTCAAGTATTTCCCCTACCTCGCCTTCCTGAGTAGCTGGGACTACAGGCTCACACCTCTACACACACTCGACTACTTTTTGTATTTTTAGTGGAGACAGGGTTTCACTATGACGCCCAGCCTGGTCTCGAACTCCTGGGCTCAAGGGATCCGCCCGCCTTGGCTTCCCAAAATGCTAGGATTACAGGTGTGAGAAACTGTGTCTGGCTGTTTATCATATTCTTAATTCCTGATTGTAAATTTATTTCTGGACTTATTTTCTCCCCTTGAGTCGTCTGTGTGTTCATGTGCCAGCCCCACTGTTTGCATTTCTGTAGCCTTGCAAATGGTATCTTTATCTTAGACTTTTTAGTATCTGGAGTGCCAGTGTCCCTCTCAATACTCTGCTTTTCCAGGAATATCTTGGTTATTTCTTACATGTTTGTTTTTCCCAGAGGGCTTTAGAAACAGCATGCCAATTCTAGTATCTGCTTCCTCCCCCCGTCCTCCAAAAGCATTTGTGTTTTTACTGAGAAGATGCTACATTTATACATTAAAGACATTCGACAGGAAACACAAAAATGCAGATACATAAGCAGGCCCCAGGTATTTTTCATAGTACTTATTTGTCAGGTCCTGTCTCACATATAAAAGCACACAGGGCACTTGCCACCTTCTCTTCCGCAAAGTGCATCAGTGTGGTGACCATGACAGGAACAGAAAAGGGGAAGGAAGCTGAGATCCTGGCAGAATAAAATGTGGCATGGAATTAAATAGTTAATATGTAAATATAATGAAATTAATAGCATTTATCGACCAGTTGAGCACTTTAGTCCATTATCTCAGTTCATATGCACAACTTCTATGAGGCAGGTGCTACTAATATTATCCTGATTCATCAATAAAAATGAAGCTCAGAAAGATTAAGTCACTTTCACTCAACTAATCATCATCAGAGCTGGAATTTGATCCAGTTGTAGACTCTGCACTCTCAACCTCCAAGCTGAGCTGAGCTGCTAAGTAAAGTTAAACTGCTTCTGGGAGTCTGGGTAGAGAGAAAAAAGAGAAATATGTTTGCTGAATCAATTGCTGCCGGCCAAGGGCCAGGCCTTTGCACCTGGCATCACAGCTGACTGAAGCTGCAGAATCCGCAGGAATTCAGAGCCTGGGGCTCCTGCTGTGTGGGACACAGAATGGGAAGATGAAGTCACCACCCCAGTGTGTCCCAGGTCTTTGTCAGAGGACAAAATGCTGACATTTCAGGAGGGAGGAAGACCCTTGCTGCTATCATGGCCCTTAATCCTGAGGTTAGGGAGCCAAGGCGGAGGTCCTGTAGGGGTGAGAACATCCATCCCAACTGTGTCCGCCCACCCTGCTCAGGAAGCCGCCTGCGGGGAGAACACAAAGTTCCACTGGGCTCGGGGCAGTGCCGGAGCTCCCTGCCCCCGGCCTCCTGGGAAGCACCAGCTCGCAGAGGGACCAGCTCATGCTGGGATCAGTGCCTGCTCTGATACCTGGAAGTCCCTGGCGGCTTGGGGGCTTACTTCTTGCTGGGGTGTGGTCTCCTGGTCAGAAGCTCCAGTCCTGCTGGGGAAGCCAGCTGAAGGCACTCGGCTCCCCTCAGGGCCTCCCAGGCTCCTTTCCCGAGGGTCTGGGTTGATAACTAAGTTTGGAAATCCCTTGAGGGGTTGAGGTTCTAGGGCAGTGGTTTCAATGGTAGGGGTGTTTCCCTAGGGAACATTTCAAAATGGCTGGAGACATTTATAGTTGTCATGGCCAGGAGCAGGGAGAGGGGTTCTGCTAGCATCTGGTGGGTAAAGGGAGGCGGTACTGCTAAGCATCATAGGATGCAAAGAACAGTGCCCTCCCGTGCTCCCCCTCCCCCACAAAAAAACCCAAAGAATTATCTAGCCCAAATTGTCAACAGTGTCAGGGCTTGGACATCCTGTCTTCGAGGGCTTCAGTTAGCACCAAAACCCTTGGGAGCTGGTTTAAAATGTGGAGTCTAGAATCCCCTAAACCCATAGGGTGCAGTGTGAGACCCAGGAACCTGTACTTTCAAGCATTCCAGATTATTCTGTTACAGGTAGACCATACTCCACATTGACAAGTAGCACTGCAGGCTGCACCCGGCGCATGATTCCCAAACTCTGGCCCTGTGTGGGTCTGCCTGGGGCAGAGGCAGCTGGAGAGCTGGCTAAAGCCCCAGCCTCCTTCATCCCTGGAGGTTCTCTTGTAATAGACATGGCTTCCATCCCAGAATTCCATGGGTTGTTTTGTTTGGCTTAAGTGATTCCTTTTTTTTTTTTAAGTTGACAAAAATTGCATACATGTAGGTATATACCATGTTTGGAAATGTGTATACATTGTGAAATGGCTAAATTGAGCTAATAACAAATGCATTACCTCACTTTTCATTTTGTGAAATCTACTCTCATCAATTTCCAGCATACAACACACTGTTGAGCACTTTGTCACCATGGGCTGCACACTAGGTCTCTTGGACTTATTCCTCTTGTCTAACTGAAATTCTCTATCTTTTGACCAACATTTCCCCAATGAGAGATTCGTATTTAGATTTGCTAACCCAGTATGTGGCCTAAATCCACACAGGACTCTGGTCATCTGCCCTCATCTTCCAGTGCTACAAGTCAAGCAAAACTGTGGTGCCTGCCAGCTGATTTCATTCCCGGAAGCCCAAAGCTTTACCAGCAGGTCACTTCCAGCACACAGATAAGGAGATTAGCCACGCCTCTCACTTCACCTCCAGCTCCTCACTGTTCCAGAATTACCAACTATCCTATTTCTGTTCAAAGCAGCCAAAATTAACTGAGGGCTGCTCTTTGAGGGCTTCTGCAGGGAGCGTGGACCCTATGGCCAGCAGGAGCAGCACCTCCCTCCCTCCCTCCCTCCACTAAAAACCTGTGGCGTCCCTGTTACAGAATGGAATGTGCTAGATCTCTCAGGGATGCTGAGGTACGAAACAGTTCGGGAAGACAGAACCAGAAGACGGTTCGGGAAGCCTGGGATCAGAGTGGAGAACGACAGAGCTCTTCAGCATGGTCCTTTGGTTTCCGAAGCAGTGCCTGGCACCTCATGATGGCTCAATGCTCGTCATTCATTGCCACTATGAAATATTCCTGAAGGGCGTTTCCTCCAGGCTGTGGTACTGTCTGGAGAATTATCGTGGCTCCCTGCTCAAGCCTATGACTCTAGGGCCACCATCTCTGACCTCGGCACCATCCACCCCCAGCAATGCGCAGATTGGACGAGGGCTCGCTAGAGACTTCATCCTGCACGCAGGCGCTGCCCTCTGTTGGCCATACTCTTTGTGTGCAGCTTAACTTTTCTTGGTTACCTTTACTTTTTTTTCTCAGTGGCTTTGTCCTCTGTCTCAGCGTGGCCTCCAAGGCCACTTCCTGCTCTGCCACTTGGTATGGTTCAGGGCTGCCCTGCTCTCAGTCACGGCCCATTTTTAGAGCTTTTTTGCATCGTGTAGGTCCGTGAGCATCTGTGTCAGAGGCTGATATTTACTGATGTGCCTCCCACATTGGGGATGGTGTTGGGGGCACGGGTGGGGTTTGAAACTGATAACTCTAACAGAAGTTGGGTACATAGTGACTGTGTCCAAACCCCTGCACCAAGAGACTGGACCAACCCTAGCATGGCTTCTGGCAGCCCAAAGCGGCATCCCTGGGACCACCTGGCCACCCTTTGAGTTCCTGTCTGAAAAAGCTCAAGGCCGTCAAAATCATTTAGTGTTTGTTCCTACCAACACCTGACAACAGGCCTCTGACCACCCCCTCACTTTCTTAGAGCATTTACGTTAAAAACACTTAGAGTCGTACCTCCTTCCCTTGTCCCTTTGAGATGTACATGCATGTGTGTCCAGGAGTGTCTTTCTCAAGAGCCTGAGAGCCAGTCCTTTGAAATGGCATCATCAGGAAGGATGGGGCCTGTCTCCCAGGCTCTGGGGGAGGCCAGAACCTAACTTCCATCACTGCCAGCTGGCACACACAGCTGGCCCGGCCACAATAACACAGACAGCCCTTTGTAATTTTTCACTCCCATGATTCCTGAGCCCTGGAATGCCCTTTCCCGACTCCTACGTTCTCCCATTAAACTGTCCAGTCCCCCTGCACAGATCTGAATGGAGCTCAGCTTCTCCCCTGTCAGTGGTTAATGAATAAGGTCTGTTTTCGTAGCTTTAACTAAGGTCCAGCTTAGTTTATCTTTGACAGACCTACTTACCCTGCAGGTTCCCACCTCGGGCCTGGAGGGAAAGCCTCTGGGAGGAACACGGTCCTCACCAAAGGGTGGGAGACCAGATCGTGCCAGGGAGTGGAGTGGACATGAGCTCTGGGACCCTCTCCTCTCTCCCGGAATGGCTGCACAGGAAGGAAGGATGGAAGATGTGAGAAAGGCCACCCTGCCTGGGAAGGAGCTACCAGCCCTCAGCAGTCCAGAGGCTGCCCAGAGAGCAGCGAGCAGCTCTCCAGGACTCCACCTCCCAGGCCCAGAGGATGCCACCCAGGGGGCTCAGTGAGAATTCAGCCACAGCCACACACATCCCGGGAGAGTGTCTAAAGATGCCACCAATCCAATATCACAGAAGGCAAGAACCCAAAGAGCAGAAGCCGAGACAAGGAAGTAGCCATTTTGGATACATGCCCCCCACCCCAATCCTGGGCCAACGTGGATCTTCAGCATCCTGAACCTGAAGCCCCCATGGTGGGCCTGTGGCGGGCTGGGTGTGGCTTCAGAGGTGCAGCGGCAGGAACTGGCAGAGTGGTTCCCCCAGGCCCAGGGCTGACCCACAGCGACATGGGAAAATGGGCCCAGTAGGTCCCTCCTTGTTTAGCTCCCTTTGGTCTTTCCAGGTCCAGCTTCACTGGGTCCACGGGGTCCCCATCCTGAGGTCACTGTGTTTCTCACCCCCCACCTGCCCACTCGCTCCCAGCCCACTGCAGTCTGACTTTACTGCCCATCACCAAAGATGCCAGCTGACCTTGACTTCTTGGGGGTAGAGGACAATGGGGGTCTGTGTTACCTCAACCACTCTCTCCTGTTGAACCTCTCATCCTCCTGAGTGACACTCACCTGGTTGTCTTCCGGCTACCTGCAACCTCCCGGCATCCTCCACAGGCCACCTTCACCCACCCACCCCGTGAACTCACACTCCTTGGGGTTCTCTTCTGGGTTTTTCTCACTCTGAACCCCCTGAGCAACCTGCACCCCTCAGGGATCACCGGTTATTTATGCCGATGGCTCCAACTCTGCCTCCTGCAGCCTCATCTTCCTCCTGACCATCCGCCCCACCGCCCAGCCAGCCACTACCTACACTTCCACGGGGTGCCCTGGACACACACGACTCACCAGGAAACAAAGGAACACCTCAGCTCCCACAGCCACTCTCAGACCTGCCCCTGCTGCACTCCCCACCACGGGCAGCCTCGGTCTCTATGGGTCACAGCCAAGCAGCTCCCCCCTCGCTTCTCTGTCCTCACCACTTCCACCAGGGGCCCTAATAAAGATGTCAAACCAGCCTGCCGTCCACTGTGCAGCTTGTAGAGATAGATAATGCTAGAAATCCAGTTGGCCATGTCACGGCCCTGCTTTAAATCCCTTTCACGGCTCCCATGGCCCTTGGGATCCATCCAAGCTCCTCAGCTGGCTTTCCGCCCTCAGTGCTCTGGTGCCTCCATTGTGCGTCTTCCAGTCCCGCCCCACCCTCCTGTCCCTCCAGGGAAGTTCTTTCAGCTCTGCCCTGGGCTACAGGCTGGGCTGGAGGGCTGGGCTCCCTCTGCCCACTTCCCCACTGGACCTGCAGCGAGATGTGCTGGCAGATCCCAGCCCTAGGCTATTTCATGAAGGAGGCTTTGAAGCCTCTGGCGACCTGCTTCACTGCAGGAGTCCTGCACTGTGTCCTCTGGGGCCCAGACGAGTGGTGCTCAAAGCTGCACTTGAACAAGTCCTCGGTCTTCCTGCCAGGCCTGGTTCTCCGCCGAATCCGGGCAGTCAGCAGGGGGCCGGATTTTCCTCCAGATCTCAGGAAAGTAGTCCTGGATATCTGTGTTCATAACTGCAGCTCCCAGAATCCTTCCCTGCTCCCCTCCCCAGACCCACCCACTGGAGAAACAAGAATCAGGTGGGCGGGGCAGGGGACCTGCACACAGGCAGAGGCCAGGGCTTTGTCACCAAACAGTAATCTTTTCATCACCATTATTTATTATATATGAACCAGGTTTTCAGCACAAGTCACACTCAACACCCTTACCCAACAGGAGGGGCGACGGAGGCTCAGAGAGGGAGTGTAGGGGGAGGATGTCAATGGGAGGCCCCAGCCTGAGCCCTGAGCAGCTGGCCAGCCAGGAACTGGCATGTGAGTGAGAGGCATCCTATTCTCCTGCTGCTCCAAAGACAATGCCCGCTGAACAGGATGGCAGGCCACATCAGCAGTCCATACAGAAGTGAGGCTGTCGTTTCTTCCCCTGGAGCACCAGTGAGGACAGGCCCCAGCTGGGAGCCAGGCAAGGTGGGTGAGCTCTGTGCTAACCACACTGGGAGCTCGGGTAAGCGTGAGGGCAAGGCTGGAGAGGTCCGGGACCCCTGCGTGTTGCTTCCCACTCCTGCCAGGCTGGCACGCCCCCATTCTTCACCATCCCTAGCACAGAGCCCAGGGCCAGGGGGCAGAGGGCGGGGCTGGCTCAGGAGCAGGGCTGGCCCGTCCCATAGCGCCACTCACATTGCCCCTTCCCCTCTCTCATCCCAGCTCTGGTCACTTAGATGCTGCCATGAGAGGCTCTGAAATCCACCCCCACTGCAGCCAAAAGCCCAAGTCAGAGCCAAACCTGCACTGTGCTCGGACTGACAGGCTGGGGTCGGGGGAGGGAAGACATCCACTGAGGGAGGTCCAGGTGGCAGGAGGCGGAACAGGATACTCTGAGGAGACACAGCAAAGGGTGCCAACATCTAGGACTGAGGCCATCTGGACCCACATGACTATGTTGCTTTTTGTGTGTGAATGTTTCTCTGCTTCAACATTTTCAGAAATTTCACATCTAGACGTGTCAGAAAATTAACAATTCCATGCCAGAGAAAAGGCCTTGCCTATAACCCAATAGAGGCCCCCCCAGTTCCCAGCAGGATGGTGGCAGAGCTGCTGACTGGGCACTGACTCCCCCGCCTGGGCCGGAGCACCCTCTCCATGAGGACACGTGTCCTCCTCAGGATGGGCTGAGTCCTGGCATCTGCCCCGTCTGTAAAGGGAAAGACCCCACCCATACCAGCTCCCCAGCAGCATCTCCTTGGGAAAGAGGGCAAACTCCAGAGCAGTGCGGGTATTGGAGCAGGACATCCCCTCGGCCGCTGCTGTGCCCAGGGCTCCCCAGGGCCCGGGCTGGCTGGGAAGACTGGGAAGACTTCCAGGAACCAGGCAGGCCCTGCGGGTCCGGGTCTCTGGGTGCCAGCAGGAGGGAGCTGGTGACCAGACATAGTTGTGTGGGGGAGGGTCCGGACGAAGGGGTTGTCAGGGACAGTGGAGCCACAGTCATTCCGAGAGCTGGGCACCTGAAAAGCACATCACATGGAAGGGTCCCGGCCTTGCAGTGGAGACTCCACTGCCCCCAACCCTCCCTGGAAAGCCCCCTCACCCCTGCCCAGATAGTCCTCAGCTTACCCTTTCCCTCCCTCCGTCCAGGTTAGGGCCCAGGTTAGGGTCTTGCCTTGGGGTGAAGCGCTGTGAGGATGGGGGAGGGGGGTGCTGGGAGCATGGTTCCCATTTCATCCCTGGCGGCCAACACAGGCCAGGCAGGAAGGGAGTTGATGTTCAGTCCCCTCCCCACCTTTTCTTTTCATGAAATAAATAGATGCCTGAATCCCAACAAGAACTCTAACCAAATGAAATCAAAACCAAACCCAGAAGTGCCATACCAACCCCATGTGCCTGCCGGAGTGTGGATGGCTCCCTGGGCCCTTCGTCACCCTGGGAACACAGGCCCTGCCATCTGCTGGGTTGGCCGCATCCAAAATAATATGACCGAGGCCTGCCCTGGGTGTGGGAAAGCCTTGTCTTTCCCCTCTTCCCCACCCACACCCCTCGCCCACACAGTACCTGGGTCGGGGGCGGCGGGTCACTCCCACAGGAAGCGCACGTACCAGATGGTCTCATTCTTCAGCTGGGGCCCGAACAGGGGGTTCAGCTGCGCCAGGATGGCGATGAGCCAGCTGCCAGGGACAGCAAAGCATGGTGAGCCTGGCACAGGAGGGTCCTCCCACACCCAGGGGAGGCCTCGGTCATATTATTTTGGATGCGGCCAACCCAGCAGATGGCAGGGCCTGTGTTCCCAGGGTGAAGAAGGGCCCAGGGAGCCATCCACACTCCGGCAGGCACATGGGGTTGGTATGGCACTTCTGGGTTTGGTTTTGGTTTCATTTGATGTTCGGTAGATCTGCAGGATCCCCGAGTTGGGGCTGAACCTGGGGTTAGAGAAGAGGGGAGGCAGCCTCAGGGGCGCTTTGGGAGCGACTCCCAGCTGTGCCCTCACACACCTCTGTCCAGGCTCCCCCGGCTCCATGCACCAGGGAGCGAACAGGGCAGGCCTGGCGGGCAGCACGTCAGAATCACCTCCTCTTATGAGAGAAGGAACTACCCCAAGACGTGAGGAGCTGACGGGTCAGGGGCCTCCTGTTCAGGCTGCTGCCAGGCCACCTCTGTTCTTCAGGCCAGAAAACCCTCAGGGACCTGCCCCACCTGTCATCACTGCTGGGCGTGTGGGTGGCTGTCTGGCCCCATCATTCATGACAAAGCTCCCAACTTCATTTGCCACAGTAGTTAGTAGGTCCCCACGCTCTGTCAGTGCCTGACCTGGAAGGGCCCCCCACGACCACATCCACACTGCTTTGTCTGTTTCTGCAGGAAGGATCGGTATTTTCCCTCTTTGAATCCCTCACAGTAGGTAGGAGGACCTAACGCCCAGGAAGCCATCAGAAATTGTTACCTCCTTTACATCAGCATTCTCTCCGAGTTTATGTTTTGTAAATATAATTTCTAGGCGTAACATTTTCTTAGAATGACCCCACCTTTCTACCTGTATGCATCCAATTTGCAGTGTGTTTTCTGTTTCCCGTATGTTGATTCAGTTGGTATTTGGGATTACCCCGCATCTTGTGTAGGCCCCGTCTCCCCCACCCTCCCAGCCACCAAACACAAGCCCCTCTGAGGCCCTGCCATGGGCAGATGAGGATCTTTTCTCAAGCCCTGAAGGACCTAGAAATAGCATTAGAGAAAGGACCTCAGAGAATGCTCTGTCCAGGAAGAATTTTGAAAAAAAAAAAAAAAGTGGGTTTAAGTTAAACCATGTGTTAATAGTCATCATTATTTCTAACAAGTTTAGTTTTTGTCAGTAGGAGGGCTTATACATTTCTGGGTGCAGTGGCGTGTACCTGTAATCCTAGCTACTCAGGAGGCTGAGGTGGAAGGATCACTTAAGCCAAGGAGTTCAAGCACAGCCTTAGCAACATGGCAAGACCCTGTCCTACAGAAAATTTAAAAATCAGCCAGGCATGGTGGCACATGCCTGTGGTCAAAGCTAGGCTGAGGTGGGAGGATGGCTTGAGCCCAGAAGGTTGAGGCTGCAGTGAGCTATGATCCCACCACTGCACTCTAGCCTGGGCAACAGAGTAAGACCCTGTCAATTATCTAATTAGTTAACAGCCGGGTGCAATGGTGTGCACCTGTCATCCCAGCTCCTTGGGGAGGCTGAGGCAGAAGGATCATTTGAGCCCAGGAGTTTGAGACCATACTGGCCTGGTCTCAAGACCCCATTTCAATCAATCAATCAATAAAACATAAGGTAAATTAAGAGAATTGGTTAATAGGAATAAAGAATCCATGACCTAATCAGATAAAACAATTTTAACTATGATAACATCAAATCTTAAATCAATGAAGTAAATTTTTTGAAAGTGGGTTTTGTCCTATGTATTTTGAAAAATTTGGCAACCCTGGAAAATATTCCAGTTGTTTCAAAAGAATCTGTTACCTCTTAAAGAATGAGCATCTCATCACTTTACCTGTCCTGTTTTGATTATTCTGAATTAAGAACACCCAACGATGCCAAGCTTAACCCATAAAAATAATGTACAAGACATAGGAAGATGGGAAACCCAACAGCCTTAATGCAGCTTGATTAACCATGAGACAGGCCTCCCAACAAACTAGAACTTGAACTTATCTCTTGGTTGGCAGCCAGGATCATCTAAACATGGAGCAATGTAACCGCAGGTTTGGGATGGATGCGGGGGCAGGGTCTTTTTCTTTTTCCTTTTAAAAAATTTTTTTAATAAAGAGGGATTGGCTATTGTGAATGGCAGTTTTAGCAAGAGACTAAACAATAGACACTGAGGATCTGCAAACTGATTTCCTCACACTCTCCAGGTATTCAAGTCCCTTGGAATGTTCTTCTATATCCCCAGGGTACCTATTCCAAGTTTGATGACTTACTCTCACCTAGTGGTTCTTTTTTTAGAGTCGGAGTCTCACTCTGTTGCCCAGGCTGGAGTGCAGTGGTAAGATCTTGGCTCACCGCAACCTCCGTCTCCCGGGTTCAAGCGATTCTCCTGCCTCAGCCTCCTGAGTAGCTGGGACTACAGGCACGCGCCACCAGGCCTGGCTAATTTTTGTATTTTTAGTAGAGACGGAGTTTCACTATGTTGGCCAGACTGGTCTCGAACTCCTGACCTCGTGATCCACCCACCTCAGCCTCCCAAAGTGCTGGGATTACAGGCGTGAGCCGCCACGTCTGGCCTCTCACCTAGTGGTTCTAAGATGGCTGCATTCCAGTCACCTGGGGGCATTCATGAACAACAGGAATTCCCAAGTGCAGATCTCGAGAGTTGTAATTTCATGGGTGTAGGGTGCAGCCTGAAAACTGTGTTTGAACAATCACTCCAGGTGACCCAGTCAGGCACAGACAGCACTGAGGTGGCCTGCCTCCTTCCTTGCCCAGGTGAGAAAACTACAGCCCATGGGGGCCAGAACTCTGGGGGCAGAGCCAGATCCAGAGCCCAGGGTTCATGACTTCTGGCCCACTGCTCTCTTTCCCATTCCACACCACCTCCACTCCTGTTGTTTTATAGGTTCAGCCTTTCAAGAGGCATTTACTACCAGGACAGAAGGAAGAGCAGGCTAGGGTGAGGAGGAAAGGAGGGAGGACAAAGGAACTGGCTGACTTTGAGCTGGGGAGAGTAGTACTTACAAGAGGTAACAGCAGACGGCGGTGGCGACCAGCATGGTGATGATCACTCTGCAGCAGAAGAGGACACGGGTCAGAACAAATGCAGCCAGCACCTCACAAGGCCTGGCCAGGACCAGAGCAAGAAGAGCTCCTGGTGTGAGCTCTTTTCCATTGGCCTTCCTGATGCCTCCTGGACACAGGAGGCTGAGTTCTACTCAGGGTAAGAATAGCAAGGCAGAAAATAAAAACTGAAAGTGTCACCTCACAGAGAGGCCAACCTTGACCACATCCAAGTTGCCTTAAGAATCCTTCCCTTCATTTCCCTTCTCTACCACCCAATATTGCTCCATCTTAATGCAGACGTGTTGTGGAAAGGCACTGCACAGAGCTGCATTTGTGGCAACCCAACAGGGAGTGGTCTGTAGAATTCAAAATTCATGGAGCAAGGGGAAGGAAAACAATAGGCTAGAAGACAGGGCAAGAAGCAGGCAGACTGTGAGCCAGTTCTGAGGCCCAGTGAGTTGTTACAAAGAGAACAGGGACTAGCCACTTTGCGTGTACTCAGAGAAGACCAGAGACAGATGCTTCAAGTGCAGCAAAAGAAATTTCAGTCAAACTGAAGCAAGAACTCACCAAGAATAGCAGGAGACGCAAGACACGAAAATGGTTTACAAAGTGAAGCTGTGGGATCCCAAACCCTGCCTGTCTTTAAGAACAAAGGCAGCACTCACATGTCCAAACGGCCTTTGGGCAAAGCTAACTCTAATCCAAACGAGGCCCTTGATCTTTGATCTAAAGCACTGCAAGCTGGTGCTGGACACAGGAGCACGCGATCCCTTTTTCAACATTACTAAGCAGGTTGTGCCAGTCCTGGCTGGGCACTGAGTAGACAATGGTGAACTGGACAAACTCCAGCCCCTGGGAACATGCAGTCAAGGGAAGGGTGCTTTGTAACTGAAGATAATATGAAGCAGAAACTGGTGAATGGCGCAGCAATCTGCTAGAGGACCTTCGAAAAATAACGCCAGCTAAACTTATCCCATACCTACAAAGTGTCACGCACTGGTAGGTGTTTTAAATGCGTTACCGCAGGTCATCCTCACAGCAGCCTTTTAAGGCAGGAGTCGACATTATCTCCATTTTACCCATGAAGAAACTGAGACTTGATATTGGCTCTAGGTCACACAGCTAGCAAGGAGTGGAGAAACTGCGTCAGTGCCCACTTGTGCCCTTTACTGGCTGCAGGAGGGGTGACAGACATCTCCAATGTCACTCTCCTCTTTACCTTCTGGATATGCCCTCTCGCCCCACCTCCTGCCTGTTCCCGGCTGTCAGAGACCCAGGTGCAGAGAGACCTCAGAGGTGGCGTCCGGGGTCCTGGCGTCCCTCCTGCGGACGCTCGCTGCAGAGCAGGAAGCCGCCGCCCCGGGGCGGAGGGGCGAGCCGGGCCAGGGGGCCGGGGTGGAGAGGTCTGCAGGGCCTGCGCGCTTTCCTTACCCGCGGTTGGGTCCCTTCGGCACGAACCAGGGCCCGGCGATGCCGACGAGGCCCCAGAACGTGGTGAAGATGATGACCGGGAGGGCGAATGAGTGCGCCGTCATGGCCGGGCGCAGGATGCCCAGGCAGGATGCAGGGCCGAGCAGCGGGCGCTGCAGGTGCGCGGGTCCCCAGCCGGGCAGCGCGCTGAGCATGCGCAACAGGAGTCGAGCACCCGAAGCGATCAGCCGGGCCGGGCCGCGCACGCGCATCTCCTGATCCAGCCCGCCGCGCTGTCACTCAGGACCTGCCTAGGAGCCCACTCGCTGATTGGCTGAGCAGGGCCGCGGACAGAGAGAAATGCCGAGGAATAGGGGCGCGGCCGCCCGGTTTCGGCGATGGGTTATAGGGTCCGCGTCAGCCCCGCGCCCGCACAGCCAACGTCACGCCGCATTCTTATTTCCAAAGACCCCTGGAGCTTGGGGTCCCACCCCAGCGGTCTTTCGGGGCGTCCCCTGCCCTTCACGCGCCGCGCCGGCTCGGCCCGAAGCGCCCTGCGGACCCGCAGCCTGGGCCGCCCCGAACCTGACGGCCCCGCGGGGGTCGGACGCGGGAGGAACGGCCTCGCTTTCAGAGACGCAGCGGGAGGGCGGTCCCCGCTGTCCCTCTGGCCGGGTCCTCAGCACGCGTTCTCCTCACTCCCAGGACTAGCGAGCGGCGGGCGCGGACCGGGGCCTGGGGTCGGAGGCGGCGCAGCCAGAAAGGCCCCAGCGGCGCTGAGACGTTTGGGGGAAGGCGGGGGCTTCGCGTTTCGATGGCGGGAAGCGGAATGAGGTTGGACCGGCCGGGCCGGCGTTCAGGGACCCGGCGGGAGGCGGAGGGCTGGCGTCCTCGCGGACATCCATCTGCAGCGAACCAGGCAGAGGCTTTGGGATTAGATCCTTGACTCCTTGCGTCAGTAGTTAAGGTTTGTTTAAATATAAAATGGGATGGCCCTTCTTACAAGGTTGCTGGAGGATTAAATGAATAGGCATGTGGAAAGCACCTAGTATAATAAGGCTCGGTAGTTTCTTCCATCAGGGCTGGAAGAGACCACGGAGCCTGCTTTCCTCCTTCGGCGTTTGGATCTCACATATCCCTTCTTCTCTGGCGATCAAAAATCCCTATCTTCTGTAGAGATCCCTTTTACAGATCAGTGGCCTCCAGGCGGTATCTCTAGCAACAAGTGCTACCCCAAGCGGCCGGCCACACATATTCCCTGGCTTCATGACATAGGGAGGCGCAGTCCCCACGTGATGCAGAAGGGAAATGTGCCTGTCCTTGCACTGACCCCGTCAGCCATGTGTGCTCCTGGCTGTTTTCTGAAATCAAGAACCAGTTACATCCGCCCTTCTCCGTTCTCTAGTTGAAACCTCCCTATCCATCCTTCCAACATTCATGTAAGTTGGAGGTGGGCGTGGGATGACACCAAACTGTTAGGTATAAAATACCATCCTAGCCTTCGAGGGGTTTCTAAAGTAGTTGAGGAGTGATATATTCTGGTAAAATCATAATGCTGGACAGCGCAGTTCTAAGAGCCCTGTGATCAAAGTAGCCAAATGCCCATTATGAGAATTCAGAGGGTGGAGAAATCCAGGAAGACTCCCTGGAGGAGGTGAGATTTTAGCTGGATTGTAAACAATGGTTATTTTTCTCATCCAGAGTGTGTACATTGTTGAGAACACTGGCCTAGGATAAGGGTGCACTTGGCATCCAGGAGATAGAGTTAAGAGTATGTCCATACAGGCCTTCAAAAAATCACCACGAGGGCTGAGCGCAGTGGCTCACACCTGTAATCCCAGCACTATGGGAGGCAGAGGCGGGCGGATCACGAGGTCAGGAGATCGAGACCATCCTGGCTAACACGGTGAAACCCCGTCTCTACTAAAAATATAAAAAAATTAGCTGGGCATGGTGGCGGGCACCTGTAGTCCTAGCTACTTTGGAGGCTGAAAGGAGAATGGCGTGAACCCGGGAGGCAGAGCTTGCACTTGCAGTGAGCCGAGATTGTGCCCCTGCACTCCAGCCTGGGGGACAGAGTGAGACTCCGTCTCAAAAAAAAAAAAAAAAAAAAAATCACCACGAAAGTTCTATAGCTCAAAAAAGACGGACTTTTTGAATTTTGTTCTGGAAAAAAAAAAATCCTCTGTAGAAAATGACAGCTGTAAAGTGAAATGTATTTCCTTCTTTGCCTCTGCTCCTTTGTCTTGGCTTTGGCCAGAACCAAAAACATTGCTGAGTCTGAGCAGCCACTCATATTAGCAGCCTGCAGCTCTTACTCTTTTCCTTTAATGTCTTTGATGTTTCATTTCTGTCCTAATTTGCATGTGATTGCCTGTGTCATTTGTTTGGCAGCTTTGTGATGGTCTGAGGTCCATGAAGGGATTAAAACCAGGAACTGGCTCCTTCTCCAACCACTAAAGCCTCATCTGGGCCCACAAGCCCTGGCTGTTCCCTGGAGCGTGACTGGAAGATGTGAGCAGCTTTGTGCTGGAGCCCCATTTCCATGGGTAAACTGTTCACCTGATCAAACAGCTCCCCAGAGTTCCACAGTACCACATATTTATTTTCTAGAACTTTGTTTTTAGCTGAAAGGGATCTTAGAGGCTAAGGCAATCCTATCACTTTACAGGTGATAAAACTGAGGCCCAGAGAAGTGAAGTAACTTGCCTAGGCCCACACAGCTCATCAGTAAAAGAGCCAGAACACATGGCCGAGACTTCTCCCTAATCCAGCGTCTCCTCCACACTCCCAGCTCACCCCTAGGGTTTGTGCCCAGGCTGAGGACACTATTTTCAGAGGCACTAATGTGAGGCAAAGGGCATGTTACCAGACACAGCCCCGCCTACCCCGGTCCCCTGAGGTGGAGCTGTGCATTCCACTGGCTTCACGGTTCCCCTCTGCCCTGGCGGCTTCTGGTTGGTATTGGCGCCACCGACTGCTCTGCCATGGCTCCTCAGTGAGTGCTTTGGGTGTGATTGACAAGTTTCCATGACATCTCCCAGGGAGTGGGGTCCTGATGTTGGTGACATCTCTATCGTTCATCTTTTCATGGGGCTGATGAATTCCTAGAAAGGGTAGAAGGAGAAGGAGCCACTGAAAGAGGCTCTTTAAAACTTCCCTGAGTGTCCCCCAGTGCAAATGAACAGGAGCCCCAGGACACTTGAAGGCCCTAGGAAATCACACCTCAGAGCCACAGATGCATCCTAATGCTCTCTGCAGACGGGGCACGTGTCGGAGGTGAGAACAACAGCTCCAGATGTCTCTGTCTTTGCAAATAAGGCCTGTGACATTTAATGATGTAACCACCTACCTTCCACCCATTGTTCTGGTGGCCATGAGTAGAAGGAATTATACCAGGATGTGATAAGAAGGAATTAGGAGCTGGGAGTCTTGCTGGGTGAGGACCTTGGCCCCTTGCTTGCTTGCCATCTAATAGGGGCACTCCTGGCCTGTGGGGTCAGGGAGAACTAGACCCAGAGCATGGTTGTCTCTGTGACTAGTTGAGCCTGTTTCTCCTTCAAGGGCCCTGGCAGTGGGAAAACATATTATGACAATTGCACTGTTTTATCAGCCCTTGGCACTCCTGAAGTTGCCCTGAAATAAACATCCCTACCTGTATGCCAGGCCCTGCCTACTTCTGGAGCTCTCTTAGGTTTACAACCTACCCCCGCTGTCCCAAATTGATAGGGTGAGCCCAGGGCATTAAATGGGTGGTGCAAGTCAGGCTTCAGGACTGACACGGGTCTATGTGCGCTCAGTGTGGGTTGAGGGGCACTGGGCTGTCTTTCTCCCTACAGTGCATGCTGCTGCCAAACCAGAGATCACTTGTAGACTTGAAAGGGAACATGAGCTTTGGGTGAAGGATTCCCAGCCCCCAACAGAGGCCAAAAAGCTACCACCCAGCCAGGTAAGCCTTGATGGAACATCTCTTGCACAAAGATCACCATGTTCATTGAGCCTTTAGTGCCTCCTGGGCTCTGATCAACCCACGAATCAGTATCTCCGCAGCACTTCCTGTGGTTTGGATTCAGGTTTTTTACTTCTGTTTCCTGCCTTTATGATAGGAGTTTGGGTAACCTGTGAGAAACACAGCCACAGTGTAAACCTCTTGAGACAAGCTACACTGATGGGACAATCAGGGTGAGGGCAATCCGGCGCCGTGGCTATGTCAGCTCATGTGTGCTCTTTCAGGAGGACATGTCTCACAGACACAGATCTTCAGCTCTGACATGCTCGATCTCACAAGCCCTTTTCTGAAACCTCCATCATGTGCTTTCTGATTCTCTACAGGCAGAAGGAACATAAAGTATGCATTTTATGATACGACTCAGCTTGGAGGGATGAAGTAGAAGGTCCTCACTGCACCTCATGGCAGGCTGCTGACGGCAGATATTTTACCGGGCTCACTGAACTGGGCAGTCAGGGAAGGGTCGGCTCCTGCTCTGTCCAGCTGTCTTCATAAGGGACTCTGTGACACTTTTTATAAAAATGACTTTGATTTCTGCATAAGAAGGCTTCCCAAGCTTGCTGTCTAGCAGTGGCTGCTACAGGGAATTATTCACATGGCAGCAAGAGAGCCCTGGCTCCCTGGACCAGGACATTCCCTTTGTGTGTGTTGGAATGAGAGCAGGAGGAGTGCTGGTCAGAAGCCCCTCCCCAGGGCTCTGGGACTTCAGTGTTCTCAGACAAACTGGGCCGCTCCTCTGAGCTGGGATGCTGACCCACACTTGGCCCCGGCTCTGGCATCCACAGGACGCTGCCTTATCCGTCATCTCGCTGGGGCTGGGGGCTAGAGGCTGAGCAGGTCACACTGAACAAAAGAAGTGTGTCCCCATCACTAGGCTAACATCTGAGTTTCTTCCACAGTATTTGGTAACACAGTCAGAAACAAGACTGAAGATGATTCTGGAGGCAACTGGGAACCCCCCAGAACGATTCTGCAGGCTTCTGGGAAGCTGAAAAACCCCAAGGCCAGACTGGCCTCAGAATGCCTGAGTCCTTTTGATTCCACTGGAAAAGCCATCCATCTGTGCCAAGTGTGTGGAGAGCTTCAAGAGCCATATAGCCCTGGCCACCATGAGCACAGCCACGTGGGGGAGTAGTCCTGAAAGTGTCCTGGTGTGGCAAAGGCTTTCCACTAAGTGGACCTCAGATGGCACAGGAAGACCCTCCTGGGGATGTGGGAGGACACTGCCTAGTGGGTGAGGGGCCGCTCTTTCAGGTGTGCACACTAAATGCAGAGACAGCCTCTCCTGGCTGCCAAGAAGCCTGTGCATGATCCAGGACCACAAAACACTTGCAAACTCACTGCCCAGAGGCCCTGTGCCTGTCTGGAGTGTGCCCAGTGTGTCTGCGCCCCACAGCTTGTCCTGGCCCGCCAGCAGAGCCGCAGCACTGCAGGGCCCTTCTGTTGTGAGTGCCAGGGCCCTTGCTGGCTGCCTGAGCAAGGCAAAAGGTTCAAAACAGGAAGTCTCTGGGCAGCTATTCCCAGGTGCAGAGGGGAGCAGCGGCCACACAGGTGCCAGTGTGGCAGGAGCTGCAGTCAGAGGCAGCATCTCAAGAGCCCTGGGAGCAGGGGCCAGCCACGTGAAGCCCACGAGTGTCGCTGGCACAGGGAAGGGACACGAGGATCACACTGACCCAAGAGAAGGCCCACAGTGAGGAGGCCCCACCGAAGCATCCCCAGCAACAGGGACTGAGGCATCTGAGGCAGCCAGCCCACTCGGAAAGGCCTGCTGACTGCACTCCAGATGTCAAGAGCACCCTTGGGAAAAAGAAAGGCAGGAGTGCAGCACTTTCTAGAGCCTCAGCTCACTTCTCTCCTTCTAGCTCCAGCCGGAGTGATGGAAGAGGCTGCGCTGGGAGCTGCCTCCCTGGGAGCCTACCCTGCCCAGCCTGAGAGTGGAGGCTACCAGCATCACGCTTCCCCTAGTGAAATCCATCTGTCCTGAAGGGAACCCTGGGACGGGGTCAAGGAAACCCTGTTCACCCCCACCACGGGGTCAGGTCTTCACCAAAGGGAGGCCGCACGGATTCCCAGTCGCAAACCCAAAGCCTTGCTGCCTTTGCCTCTGTTTCCATAGTTGTTTCAATGTCTTTTTTAAAAATCACATACACTCGAGTAAGACTGAGTCTCCTCACCGAAGAGATCTGGCTGTATCCCGAGTCTCTGAAACCTTTGCTCCAGTCCCGTGGGAGCGTGCCGTCCCGAGGATGTGGAGCCGCAAGGGCTCGCCAGAGGGATCTCAGGAGCTAGGCCTCAAGGAGCGCTGTTGAGTGACAGGTCTGATGCAGTAGCTTTTACTATTGGTGGAAATCGATGTTTTTTCCTTGAAAGTCTACCTTTCTAAGTTCAGTAAACCAAATTAGATCATGTATGTGAAAGCACTTTGTAAACTATGCAGTACTCCAGAAAAGGCAGCCAAGCCCTTAATTATAACTCACCAAACAGCCAACTCTCATCTTTACCTTCTAACTGGCAAAAATGATTGAGCTCACTTTGAAGGACTAGAGAGGAAAGAAACTGAAAGACAAAAATCAGGTGAATACACAGGCACTTCCCCTGCCCACCTCTGTTCCTGGCCCTGTCCCCTCGTGAGTGAGAGCAGAGCTCGTTCTGTCAGCTTCTCTGAGCTCCTGGTCCTCGCTTAGGGACACACAAGACAGAGATGTGTTGAAATAGACTCTGCTTTATTCAGGTAGCAAAAGGTTAGGAATCAAACATGGTTTTTAAAACCTCCTTTCATCTTTGAAAATAGAGGAGAGAACATCCCTGGGCCAGTCACAGTTACTGTATTTGGCTAAGCACACACCTGTATGAGGGACCCGCCCCTCCACACTGTTCTGATAGGTACTTAGCACCCTAGAAACTCATCCTCTGCAGGAGAGAGAAGCAAGGGTCTGGAGCGCGGTCACATACTCTAAGGTATCTTCCAGGACAGGGGGCTGGGCTCCCTCACTCCCACCTGGAGTCGCTATGGCTATTGGGATCAAACTACCAGTTACATACTGGTTACTTGGAATGTCAGACCCGGTGGGTATCAGTCATCAGGGAGAGGGAGGGGAAATGCCAGGACACGTACATACGGATGCTGTCAAGACTACAGGCAAGGAGGAGGGTGGCGACAAGCGCTGGGACTCCAGCCAAAGCGGGAGTGCATGCTTCTTCCCCTCCCAGAGCCCTGTGGTTTTTCTTCTTGTGAGGCATAAACAGGAAGCCTCTCCAACAAGGGGGTCTCCAGCACTAGGGGCTGAAACTCAGCCAGCCTCTCCAAACAAAGCAAAGGGGCCAGCCTGGGCCAGGGCCTCTGATAAGGATGCTCACTGTGTTTCCACGGGGGTCCTGAATGAGGAAGTTCAGGAATAAGATGGCAGTCATCTTCTTCCTTCTTGGCCATTGGCTGACAAAGGGGAACGGAGCAGGCCTGTGCCCCTTGAGAAATCGGGTAGTGCAAATTTTATGACAAACAGCATTCTCAGTGGCCCCGCTGCACAGGGACCCCCCTTTCCCACCACCTAAGGAAGGCACTGGCCGGTGTCCTCGGAGCACGCTGATGCTGACGTGGAGAGGGCGAGTTGCTTCCCCTAGCTTCCACCTCAGCTCCAGAACTACTCCCACAGAGACCCACTCACGGCTGCTCACAGGATGGCCTCCTGCTCTGAGGGATTCTTCAAGGATGAAGAGGCCGCAGGAAGCATGTGTGCTGGAACAGCACCTTGATGTGGAATCCCTGTGGGTAGGGCAGAGGCTATAGCCCCACCTAAAAAAGCCTTTCTCCCTCCCTTTCCACGAGTTCACATCCACAGTGCCTGACCTGGGCAAGTTCCTGAACGCCCATGGAGACGGTGATGGGGAGAAGGAGGCCTGTGTGTGCCTTAGCCACGCAGATAGTAACACCTCCCAGAGCTCCCGCACCACAGGCCTGTGGGGTCCCTCTGACCGCCAGACCCACAGGGCTGGGAGACATTTCCACAGGTCAAAGGCAGAAAGCAAGAAAGGAATTCCTGACTAGAACTGAAAATGACACGAAAGCAACAGTGCTAAGGCTAAGTACTGGGGTGGGGATGAAAGGGCAGGTGGGGTACCAGGGTACCTGCGGTACCAGGGAGGGGCTCGGACGCCAGCATCTACCCTGGGAATGGGAAGGGTACTCAGACAGCAGCTTCTACCCTGGGAATAGGAAGGGTACTCAGGTGCTCAGATGCCAGCATCTACCCTGGGAATGGGAAGGGTACTCAGACAGCAGCTTCTACCCTGGGAATAGGAAGGGTACTCAGGTGCTCAGATGCCAGCATCTACCCTGGGAATGGGAAGCGGCAGACTATGGAGAAAGGGCCCACCCACAGGGGCCTGCAGCACAGCACAGGACCTGCCTGAGCCAGGCAGCAAGCAAGCTGGGATGGATGGCGCCCACTTCCTGCCTGTTTAAAACAAGTATCAGGCAGGGCAGAGAAACCCTGCCTGCTGACTTGCCTCATTTCCTGCCCATGGTTAAGGAAGGCAGAACCTAGACAAAATCATCCTCCTCCTGATAAGCGGCCTCCTGAGCCTGCCAAGACGGAGCTGCCCTTGGAAGGAAAAGTGCTTCACTTTAGGTGGAAGGAAGATCGGGGCGAGGAGGGTGTGAACCTAGCAGTGCCAGAAGCCCCTCTGTGCCTCTAGGGCGGTGGTTCTGTGGTTCTGAAGCTAGAGCAGGCCCAAAGTCCCTGGAGGAGGTTGTTCAAAGCCCTTGTCACTGAGCGCCCATTCGGGGATGTCTCAGTGGGCCCTGGAGATCCTGGTGCAGAGTCCCCAGGGCAGCTCAGAGAAGAGTGGACTAGCCTGTCGTGCAGATGGTGCATTCAGAGAGCAACTCCTACAACAAGGACTTTGGAGACAAATTCCTACCTGTCCCACTAAGGACGAGGATGGGGCAGATGGCAGCTAAGTCCACACTGCAGCCAGAGGTCTTTGAGGGAGCTCGAGGCTCTCATTCACTAATCCTAGGGCAGATGGGGAGTCAGCAGGCACTTGGATCTCTGCTGCCACTTCATGGAGAGGGAAACTGAGGCACAAAGAGGAAGGGATTAATCAGACCACTGCCTGCAGCAGAGCTGGGGCTGCATCCCAAGCCTCCCAACTCCAACTTCGTCCCATCCTCTCCTGGGTAAACCGGGCCGGGCATGCCACGGGTTAAACGCGGCTCGGCTCTCCGGGAAGCACCAGACCCCCTGCCAGAAGAGCCCAGCTCCACCATCTGGAGCTGCAGGAAGAGAACTTTCTTGGGTGCTCTGTGCAAAGGGCTTGTGATTGTTTCGCCCTAAAGGAAGCCCTGGGAAGAGGTAGAGTTCCGCACGAGACCACGGCCTCACTGCTTCTGCTGTGGGAGCCAGGGTAGGAAGTCCCAGAACAATGCCTCTGGGGGCTCTTGCAGCCAGGCCAGCTGTCCCTAGAGCAGGGGCAACCTCCCCCTCTAACAAGGTGGTCTTTCCCATTCCCACTTAGACTGTGGGCAGCCTCCCTGGAACATTCCCCAGGGATGTCCAACAGTCTCCCCTACCAGGACACTCCTCTTGCCACCAAAACTCAGGGGCTGAAACCTTTCATGATGGGGTTATTTT
This sequence comes from Homo sapiens, assembly GCF_000001405.40. Classification (NCBI taxonomy): domain Eukaryota; kingdom Metazoa; phylum Chordata; class Mammalia; order Primates; family Hominidae; genus Homo; species Homo sapiens. Next base: position 149,864,548 of record NC_000007.14, on the reverse strand, counting down.
CTGCAGCACCTTAAAAATGAACTTGAGATATAGAACCTTCTGGCACATTTGTGTGCTGTGAGGCATGGCTGTGCTGAGTGGGGCCTCAGGAAACAGGTCATGCACCTCCTGATACCCCTGCTGCTCTGGGATGCCACTGCCCACTTCCTGGTGCTTAGAGACCATCGCCACCAGCAGAAGATCCTAGGGCAGCCTAGAATCTGCAGAGCCTGTCCCAGTGATCACAGAGGCGTCTCCAAGGCAGTCCCAAGGACTCCCTGTCCCTCAGGACATCCCGGGGGCCTCCTGGCTGGTGTGGGGATACAGGAGTCTCTCGGGAGGCTCCATGATGCAGTCCTTCAGAACCTCCGCTGCTTCCCTGGAGGGCAGGATGGGTGGCTTCTGGGTCCTGGGCTCCTCCACATAGAGGGCTCCCATCTCCTCCTTCCTGAGCCTGGCGCCTGTGAGGGAGGAAGGAGAATACAATTAGACTGACTGACAGTGACCGCCTTCCACATCCAGCTTCGCCCAGGGGCTGTTTGGTGAGGAAAGCTTGGCAGAACAGACTGAAGTCAGGACCACGACTGCTCTTTGCAGCCCTCATCTGTTGCTACTCTGTTCATTCTTTTATCCTGAGATAGGGGATCTCAACTGGGGGCGATTTTGTCCCCCAGGGGCCATTTGCCAATGTCTGGAGATGATTTTTGTGGTCACAAATGGGGTGTGTGCTACTGGTATCCAGTGGTTATCTAATAGGTAGAGGCCATGGATGCTGCTCAAGTTCCCACAGTGAACAGGAAGGGCCCCCAACAGAGATTACCCAGCCCCAGCATCAACAATGCCAAGGCTGAGAGCCCTGCCTGGAAGGAGGCAGCGGTGCGTAGTTTGGCAGTGTTTGGACCAATCTGTGCTGGTCCTGTTGTCCCTGTGGAAAGAGTAACTCGCATCAGGGCACACCTGACATCATTTTTTTCTCCTTAGCACCCACAGGGCTGGACACAGAGCAACTCACCCAGCCCTCTCTCGGCTTTCCCTTTCTCTTATCAGTGAGGGGTCTCTTTTCTTATCCCCACCTGCCCTACTGTGGCTTCAGGGCCACCTTGCTTCCTACAGAGCCTCTGTCAGCCATGAGATCCAGTCCCATTTCTGGTGACCACAGACTCAGAGGTGAAAACTGGGAGCAGCAACAGCCGGAAGGAGGCCAGCTAGAGACGCGAGGAGAGAGAGCACTGGGAGCAGCAACAGCCGGAAGGAGGCCAGCTAGAGACGCGAGGAGAGAGAGCACTGCTCCATCCTTGTCAAGTGGTCGCGAGTGGTCTGGAGAACCCCAACAATGGGCATATTTTCTTTGGTTTTCAGTGACTACTTGAAGAGAAAAATTTCCTGTCTGTGGCTTTCAGTAACTTGCCCTCCCTTCTAATACAGCTTCCCCCTCAAGCAAGTTCTTGACCCCAGCCCTCCGGTCCAGAGAGGCTGTTTCTGTTCTCCCCTGCCCCGTGAGATTTCTGCCTGAAAGCCCCACCATCTCCTCCGCATCTCACCTCCTCCACAGCCACATGGACCTCTTCCCTCTTGAAAATTCCTGCACGGTCCAGAGTCTATACAGCCCCACTTAGAATGTGATGGCGCTGCCTGGGGCTGGTCAGCCCTCTCCTTACTCCCAGCAGTGGTCTTGACCTTTAACTAGTACCATTTGCACCACCTGCCAGGCATTGTCCTGAGTGTTTTCCACACACAACTCATTCGGCAGATGAGAAACCAAGGCATCAAAGGACAGACTTGCCCAAGGCCACACAGCCAGTTGGGGGCAGAGCCAGCACAGCACTGTCACCAGGGCAGACAGGCTCTAGAAATGCACGCTCTCTGCACTAAGCCCTGCTGCCTAGAGCACATGTGCGTCATCTCCCTGGCAGGGGTGCAAGCTCCTGGAGGGTGGATGTCACGCATCGAGTACCCACTGGCCTAGCAAATGGGTGGGTGCATGACAGAAGCTCCACAGGCACCTGCAGTCCTGTCTTATTGGCCTCTGGCTCAGCATGAGGCTGCCTTGGGGGAGCTCTGCCACGTGTACTTACTTGCAGGGGAGCGGGCTGGCACCTGGGCACAGGTGTAGACATGGCTGAAACGCCGGCCTGAGGAGGTCAGGTACCAGTGCTGGATGGCGGGCTGGGGGTCGTACTCCGTGACGGCCACGCCGTTCACAGCTGTCATCATGAGCATGTTGAGCACCTCGTTGGAGAGCTTGGTCCTCTCATCGGTCCTGATTCGGTTCATGGCCTTGAACCCCCGCTCACAGCAAGAGGTGGAGATGGGCACACAGACCACCACGGCCATGAGCTTGCTTAGCAGGGGGAAGCGGCAGTGCTGGGCCAGGGCGTTTTTGCAGAGCATGGAGAACGGGAGGTGCTGGGCAATGGTTTTCAGGCCCAGCCACTCCTCCAGCAGAGCTTCCTCACTGTATCCTGTTGGGAGGGAGCACTCGAAATACCTGGCCAGGTTGAGAATGTCATCATTCCCAAAACTGGCAAGTTCAATCCCACTTGGCCAGGCCATGGTGTCAAACACCTCCATGTTCTTCAGCTGTGGGGGTCGGTCTGCGTCAAACCTCTGCTGGAGGTACTCAATCCCCGTCAGGACTGTCCTCTCCCTATCCGCCTGGAACCGCTGTTCCGCTACCTCCAGTTTGTCCAAGCAGATGCCGTGGAGCCGCCCATCCTTGAAGCTGGCGTTGAATTCTTCCTCTTTGGGCCCTGCCTGGTGACGGAGGCTCTCCAGTGCCACGTAGGCGCGGCCCAGCGTGGCGTTCACCTCTGTAATCAGCACGATCTCCTTCTGGCACACCTCGGACAGAGGCCTGTAGATGCTCAGGAAGTCCAACAGGAAGTGGCAGAACTTGACAAAGTGGAAGCCGCGCATGAGCTTCAGCATCCCTTTGGCCCGGTGCCCAATCTGGCCCCCAGCCTCTGCCACCCTCTGGAGGTGCCTGGCCAGGGCGGGCCAGCTCACGAGCAGCGCGTGCAGCGTGCGCCTCCTGCTGGCCACCCAGCGGACCGCATTCAGATCCTTCAGGCGGATGATCTCCTGCTCCAGAGGCGCCGCACCTTCCTGCAGCTCGTTCAGCCTCTTGTTTGAGGACTGATAAAACTTGAAGACGGTGCGGATGTGCCGGTCACACTTCTTCACCAGATCGATGCTCCCGCAGGCGTCCACCACAGCCAGGTGCAGCCGGTGGGCCACGCAGTGGACAGGCAGCAGCTGCGGGATGACCTCCTGGAACTTTTCCACAAGGCCTCCTCTGCAGCTCAACATGGCTGAGCCATCCGTCCCCAGCCCCACCACCCAGCCAGGCTTCCGGAAGGGGATGTCCAGCTCATCCAGGGCAGAAACGATGGTCTCGAAGTACCCATCTGCTGTCTCACTGTAGAGAGGGGCCAGAGTGATGTAGGACTCTTTCACCTCCATCTGCTTGAAGTAGCGGATGTAAATCCCCACGCAGGCCTGCTCGGAGGCGTCGGTGGAGCTGTCCAGCAGCACGCTCACACAGGGCGAGTTCCGCACGTCCTCCAGGATCTCCCTCTTCAGGGTCTCTGAGATGTACTTGATGAACTGAGTGCACGCCGTGCGATTGCGGTACTTGCCTAATATCACGGTCCCCGTGCTTTGGAGGAGCTGCAGGATCTTCTCAAAGTCATTCAGGGGCCTTGAGTGGTATGCAATGGAGTAGGCGGCATTGAAAAAGTGCTCCATGTTGGCCATGAGGTCGCTGGAGATCTCTGGAACGAGGGCAGTGTGAGGGGTGTCTTCCTTGATTTCAACCGTGTTGACACAGAGCCTGTGCGCTTTGCTGACTTCATGGTATTTTAAAGTCTCCACTTTAAAAGGCCCCGTGTAACCTCTGACTAACCGAGATGATTTATCATGGAGATTAGGTCTTTCTATGCAGGCTGAGCAGAAGAGTTTGGTCTCTTTGGGGTCAATTACTAACCATGGGAACTGCCCAAACCATGACCTCTGAATGGAACGGGGCCTGTATGTCCTCTTGATTCTCCTAGGTCCATCTCCTTCCTCACAAATGCTGGAACTGCAGCAGGAGGCACGGGCCTCCACGGGAGAGCCTGGAAGCAACGCGGAGTCTGCAGCCGAGGCCTGTGTGTCTGCCTCTCTCACTGCCACCATCTTCTTGTTCCCTTTGGAGAAAATTGAATCATGCTTGGTTCTGCTACCCAGAACTCTGCCATCTTCTATCAGCTAAGACACCCCCAAATTTAATAAGTATCCCTTAAGCAAGGCAGAGAAGATGAATGCAATCCTTCTTTCTAGAGAAAGTGGCGTCCACTTAAACCCTCACCCATTCTCATCTGTGAAAGTTCATCTGGCTCCCCCAGAGTTGTTGCTAATCCTTGTGGGTTCTTTCACCAGCGCCCCAACCACCCTATCCACACAGCTACCCTGGGATCATGTGACACCAGATACCAATAAGTTCAATTAACCCCCTTGGCCACAGAGACTGTTGGATAAGCAGGTGGCTTTCACTCTCGTGTGAGGCTCCACAATAGAATAGGTTAAACACCTGCCAAGGCTTTTACAAGCCTCAGAAGGAAGTAGGTACAGAAGTAAGTGTAGCAACTACAAGCCAAGAAATTACTGATTGAGATAGGCAAGACAACGAATTCTCACAAACCAATAGTGCTGTCACCGAGCACTGGAGAAGGAGGGAGAAGGGATGAGAGGCTCACAGATCTCTGGGTCCCCTGGCTCCTCGAGACCAGTGTCCCCACGTACCTGCTCCCACCAGCTCTGCCACAGCCTCCATCAGTACTTCTGCTTACAAAAGGACCTGTTTTTTCCCTGTTTCCCAGACTACTCTACACTCTGTGGGCAGGGTTAGTTGCTTATTCATCTTGTCTACCCAGGGCCTCCTGCCAGGCTTGGTGCCCAATCGGCCCCCATCAGATGAGCACAGCTGAGCTCATGCTGTTTGACTCATCATAGCCGCCTGGGCCCTGGCACATGTCCTTCAGAATGCTGTAGGTTTACACTCACCTGGAGGACGACCTTTCCCCCACTTTGGCCCATTTGGGTCCTTGATCCAGGGTGCAGCCCTCCGCTCCAGTTTGGAGATCAAGTCTGGCTTGGCAGCGGCAGGTCCTGTTGTAAGGATGAAGAATCATGCTGATGTCACTGCTGTGGCCAAATCGAGTAGCCCCCTCAAGCTAGACCCAGTCCCTGAAGTACACAGAGGTGTCTCTGGGTTCTGTCCTTATAAAGTCTAGTCGGCCAGGGGCAGGCTGAGCGCAAACCCAGAGTGCCAAAGAGGCAGTAAGGGGAGGGGCAGCCCTCAGCTAGGATAGGGCTTCCTCAGATCCATGGGCCAGCCATACACACCAGAGGGGGAAGGGTGGAAACAGGAAGAAACATAGGGACTAAGCAGGAGAGAGAGGCAGGGGGAAACAGCAGCCATATGAGAAGTGGAAGGTGCCACCCACAGCTGGCCCACGCGTGTGCCCCTCTGCCCCCACAGCTGGCCCACGCGTGTGCCCCTCTGCCCCCACAGCTGGCCCACGCGTGTGCCCCTCTGCCCCCACAGCTGGCCCACGCGTGTGCCCCTCTGCCCCCACAGCTGGCCCACGCGTGTGCCCCTCTGCCCCCACAGCTGGCCCATGCGTGTGCCCCTCTGCCCCCACAGCTGGCCCATGCGTGTGCCCCTCTGCCCCCACAGCTGGCCTTTGTGAAGGTGACCAACTACATGGGTTTTTGAAAGGGGCACTTGGAGGGCCCCCTGAAATACCTACCACCTGCAATGGAGCCTGAAATCTGACTAAAGGAGATTTGTGTCTTTGGATTAAGCACTAACCTTTACTTAAAATAGGAATATTGTTCAGGGGTATGCAGATAAACCATTTCCTCTATTGAAAATAAAATCCATCACTATCTACATCATGCTTTTGTGTGTGTCTATGTGAATGTGTGCATAAACTTTCTGTGGAGAGCCACACAAGCAACTGGGCCTGTGGGTGCTCCTGGGGAGGAAGTGAAGGACAAAGGAAAAGGGAGATTGGTTTCCACTACTCATCTTTGGATCGCTTGAATATACTTATATATATAATGATACATATATGTGTGTGTCAATATCTACATATTTACTACTAATAAAAATATAAATAAGTAAATTACTAAAGTGTGTTAAATTGAACATATATCCTTCTTAAAATATCTCTAAAATGAGGGCAAAGGAATAAAAATAACAAAATGAGGTATAAGCCCAAGATAAATTGGATTAGGAATGCAAGTCCATTTTTGGAAGGGAAGGAGACAAAAGAAAGAGAAACAAACAGAGCTGAACACCAAATGCCTGCAGAGGGGTTAACAAGGAGAAGCAAGCTGGTTGGTACCAGAGAATCCCAGAAAGATTCAGAAACTGCAGGCAACAGGTATGGGAGAACGTGGTGGATGGGGAATGGGTGGGAGCAGTGGACTGGCTCAAATCTGACAGAGATCTGATCAATCCCAGGTCCTCTCACCTATTCCGGGAAACCAGGAAACACCACCACCACACCCCAGAGGAGAACAGAGGTTTGGCCTACAGAAAAACTTATCCAGAAAGGCTCCAGACCCCATATACCACGTACACAGAAAGGTGAAGGGGTGGTGCGGTACTGAAAGCAGGGAGATCGAGTCATGTCTATGGACCAAGGGGTGCACTGCTCGACTCCAAGAATGTTGGCTGGGCTTATCATACCCTCCAAACAGGAGACGGGAAGCGTTTTCTTTGGAAAAATGGAATTGCCCTTCCCTCTCCCCTCAAAAGATCTATGGACACTGACTTTTGTGGGTTCTTCAGTAAGAAGAACTGGTCATCCTACAGTGAAAAGTGAAACCTACTCTTGATGCTTCCCAGCCATGCACAGGTCTGCAGCCATGCACAGGGCTTCCAGTCCGTTTCTAAGGCTTACTCGTACACAGGAATGAACCGAGAGATAATTATTTAAGAAAAGCCTCTAACATGAAAGAGAGAAACCAAAACAAGTAGGAAAAGATTTGGAAAAACTTGAAATACAGCAGGAAGCAAAACAAAACTTCAAAATAATGAGAATTAATATTCCTAGAAAGAAAACTCATGATAGCCATTCATGAAAGAGGAAATAACAGTGTTTAGCAACTAAAAAACCCAATAGAATAAAAAAAATAGCATTGTTAGAAAATAAAATGGAGGAAATGTCCAAGAAAGTAGTATAAAAAAGATAAAAGCAGAAAATAGGAGAAAAAGACACAAACAGAAAACCAGAGACTCAATCCAGGAAGTCCAATATCAAACTAATAGGAAGGAATTTCTGGAAGAAAGAAAAGAGAAAATAGGAAGAAATCATACAAGAAAATTTTCCCAAACAGGGAAAGACCAGTTTCCACATGGAAGGGAAACACCAGATACCCAAAAAAAAAGATTAAAAACACACTTTATATAAAACATCAAGGCATATCATTAAAAATTTGAGAAAATTGAAATCAATTTCAAAAGCTTTCAGAGTAGAACAAATATGTCATGTTCAAAGATTCTGGAATAAGAAGGCACTAGACCTCTCAATAGCACCAGTAAAACCTAAAAGGGCAATGCTTTCAAAATGCTGAGGAAAAGTATTTCCAACCTAGAATCCTATATGCCCAAACAAGTTATCACTGAATCATGAGGGAAGAATATGATGTTTTTAGACAGGATGCGTCACAGAAAGAAGGCCTCCCCTGCACCCTTCCTTAGGAAGCCACTGGAGGATGTACACTAAGAAGATGAAGACGTCAACCACAAAAGAAGAGACAGACTCGGGAAATGGGGGAGAGACAAAGGCACATCTCAGACCACAGGTGTGCCGCAGGCCTAACAGCTGCCTGGGTCAGACAGAGCAGGGGAGGAGAAGGCCCCGGAGCGAAGTCTCCAGAGAAAGAATGAAATGGAGAGATCACAGGATGTCCCGTCACGTGGAAAAGACTCTTCGGAGGAGTTTTATAATTCCACTGGACAGTCTGGGAAGAACTGATGAGGGTAAAGAAAGTGAGAAAAATGAAAAAGAAGAAAAAATTTTCCAATTCGAGGGGGAAGAGTCCGACAATGAAGGCAACACCATCACAATACACCACCTTGTTCAGCAGTAAATCACACATAATCATAACTGGGCAAATAATTTATACCAATGTAACCAACAAAGTGTGATGTACCTGTTCTGAGAGGATGGAGGGAAGAGAAGCGGGGGCCCAGGTGATGTAACAGGGCCGTATCTCCATCTTCCACAGTAGGAATCAATAGAGAATATCTAAAATCAATAAATCAGGAATACAATAAACATAAGCCACAGGATATGAAAGTGTGATTCCGGCTGCCTGCTCCGGCTGAAAGCCCCCAGAGCAGGAGCCAGCTCTTCCTCATTCCAAAGCCAGACACGGACACATGACCTGGAAAGAGAATGGCTGAGGGCCAGGGGCTGTGGCTCCAGCCTGCGCCCATCGAGAGGAGTCACAGAGCTGAGACTGAAGGAGCCAGGAAGTTGGGCACCAGGGATGTTTCTGGAAAGCATTGTCAAGGATATTGTGAGCCTCTCTGACTGTGGGGAGTGGTGGGTGCGCCCTTTCCCTTAACCTGACCTGTATCTCTGGGAGCCGTGAATGGCCACGAGTCCAGCCTTGGATAAGACTAAGGTAGCCATGGGGTGCCTTGGAGGTGGCCATGTCGAGAAAGGCCTACAATCCCAGGTCTGGGAGAGCACAGGGTCTGGAAGTGCTTCTATGGTTCAGATGTGGGCCACATGGGGAATGAGAAGAGGCCTGGCGTTGTCTGTGGGGCCTGCCCGTGACGGTTGGCTACCAGTGTGATACTCCCCTGTGAAGGCGCCTATATAGACAGGCTGCCAGGGCAGACATTCACCCATGTCCAGGCAACTGCAAGCGAGAGGGTCTCAGTGCCTGTTGGGGGTACTGCAGAACCCACAAACACCCAAAGAAGAGAACCAGCTTTAAAGGACTACAGCTCTAAGTAGCTGGTGTCAGATTACATGTCAAATGAAACCTTTCTTATACCTCTCCCACCCACCAACGCCATTCCCACTGAGGATGAGTCAGAAATTCTGAAACCAGCAGGGGGTGGGAGAAGAGGAGCCCCTTTCTTCCTATGGCATGGGTCCAGATTCTACAGCCGCAGCAGGTTGAGGAGGGAAAGGCAAGAATTGAGTGTTAAATGAAGTCCAGATTTTCTACTACTACACAGAGACGGGGCTTTTGTTTCCTACATTTTCCTTTTGGTAAATCTCTGATATAATTTCAAATTTACAGAAAAGATTGAATAACACAAGGAACTCCAATCATTGACATTCTGCCCCATGTGTTCCAGCATGCTTGTGAGCTCACAGGCACGCTCTCCTGCTGGGTCTATACGTATAGCTACAATATTTTTCTGAACCATTTGAGAGTAAATTGTTTGCATGTCCCTTTATTCCTAAATACTTCATGTGTATTACCCAACAAAAAAGGACCCTTTCATAGGTAGTAGGTGGGATTCGAACATGGGCTCCAGGGCCCTCACCCTGGCCTAACCTTTACCCCTTGAGGTTAGGGGACTCTGAACAGGATGAGAGGTCACACTGTCATCACGTTACCTTGCACAGCAAAGGGAGATTAGCCAGTGGAGCCGACCTAATTACACAGCTCTTTAAAAGCTGGTGCTGTTCTCAGCTGGCAGCAGCCCAGGAAGTCAGAGCTTCAGGGCACGTGACGATTCCAAACACTGCTGCCGGCCTGAGCACGGAGGGGGCCACAGGGAAGCACCTGAGAGCAGCTCCTGGGCTGAAAGTGCTCCCCGCTGGCAGGCAGCAGGAGAACCGCAAGGAGCTAGATTCTGGCAACAGCATAAGTGAGCTCAGAGCCTCCAGACAGGAGCCTGCCTGGCCGGCCCCTTGGTTTGGGCTAAGACTCTAAGCAGAGAACCTGATCAGGCCCACCTGGACTCCCCACCTGCAGAGTTGTGAGATAATACATGAGTCTGCAGTCCTTTGAAATGGGGCAGCAGAAAGCAAAGTTATAATATAACCAGAGTTATAATGATCAAAACCAGGAAACTCAACCCTGATATCATACTATTATCTAATCTAAGTTCATACTAAATTTCTTCACTTGTCCCCAAAATGTCTCTATAGCCCAGCATCTGTCCTAGCATCATGCACTCAAGTTGTCACACCTCTTCAGTCTCCTTTAATTGAGGTAGTTTGCCAGCCTTTCTCTGTCTTTTTTTTGATCGGGACACTTTTGAAGAGTTTTGTACCAGGCATTGCACTCACTGAAATTAGAACAGGAAGATTTCATGTTATTTGAGTGTGATAAGAAAAAGTTCCAGGCCCTGCCTAGATTTAACCCAGAGGGTGAGAAAGAAAAGGCCCCCAGAGCTGACACGCTCAGCGGTGAACGGGAGGATGCAATTGTTTTATAAGCGCGTCCTGCTGGAGTCCGTCCCTCCTAAGATAATGTCCACATACGTTATTTAGAAATAATGCGGCAAATTACTGGAAGAAACAGCTACAAGATTCTGGGGAACAGGACTTTGTAAAAGAGAAAGGTGGGACAGGGGACTGTCATTTTTCTTTTTTTTTTTTTTTTGAGATGGAGTCTGGCTCTGTCGCCCAGGCTGGAGTACAGTGGCACGATCTTGGCTCACTGCAACCTCCACCTCCCAGGTTCAAGCGATTCTCCTGCCTCAGCCTCCCGAGTAGCTGGAACTAAGGGTGTGTGCCACTACGCTCGGCTAATTTTTGTATTTTTAGTAGAGATGGGGTCTCGCCATGTTGGCCAGGCTGGTCTCGAACTCCCGACCTCAGGTGATCCACCTGCCTCAGTCTCCCAAAGTGCTGGGATTACAGGCGTGAGCCACCGCACCCGGCAGAAATATTTTTAAAGAATAATTGAAAACAAACAGGGACCAAATGTTCCCAAATCTGTTTGCCTCCATTTATATTCCTTTTGGGTACTGTCCACCTTTGACTGCCGCTGGCGCCACTACCCTGGCCCCAGGAATACCGTACCCTGATGGTACCTCTCTGAAGCTGCAGCCTACATCTTATCAAAACCTCTTCTTTTTGTTCCCTTCCAAACAAATGAAATGGAGGGGAATTTTCAGCGTTTTCTATGACTTAGTAATGGAAAAAGAAGGAGGGCACATAACTGTGGCGAGTGCGTGCACACACCCACAAACACCCACATTCCATAACAGTCCATAACAATGGTTTGGCCTACAAAGGACTCCTCATCCTTCCAGGCTAACTTCACCAAGGGCCAGCAGGCCCTATCCCATGAATCCATTCTGCAAAAGCCACTCTAGCCAGGTGCAGTGCGTGTGCCTGTAATCCCAGATACTCCGGAGATGGAGGCAGGAGGATCGCCTGGGCCCGGGAGTTTCAGTCCTGACTGGGCAATATAGAGAGACCCCATCTCAAACAAACAAATAAATAGATGCCACTCTAGCCCCTCACCTTGGTTCTTCTTTCTCTAGCTCCGGCTGCCCCCACTTGGAGGCCATCATCACATGTCCTGCCGTGGAGAAGCTGGGGGACTCGAACTCCCCTGCTCATCTTCTTTAGGGCCCTCCCACTCAGTGTTGTTTTCCATGAGTGACACAACGCCTTCCCCCAGCTCTGTAAGGCCTGGCTGTAGTTACCGACTTCTCCTGTGGACAAGAAACTGCCCGCCTGCAGTGAGTGGCCACTCAGCATACGATGACACCTTTACAAATAAAAGCAAGGGCTACCCACATAGTCCCTATGTTGGCCTGTCTATTTCCATTAATGACAAATATTAGTTTCTTAACAGTGGGATGTAATTGAGATTTCTGGCTGCTTTTTGGGAAGAAGCAACAGACTTCATCAGATATGGCAAGCCAGGTGCAGTGGCTCACGCCGTAATCCAACACTTTGGGGGCTAAGTCAGCAGGATCACTTGAGTCCAGCAGTTTGAGACCAGCCTGGGCAGCAAAGTGAGACTCCATCTCTACAAAAAAATTTAAACATTAGCCAGGTGTTGTGGCATGCGCCTGTAGTCCCAGCTACTTGGGAGGCTAAGGCAGGAGGATTGCTTGAGCCCAGGAGTTCAAGGTTACAGTGAGCTATGATGGCACCACTGCACTCCAGCCTGGGTGACAGAGTGACAGCCTGTCTCTCTCTCTCTCTCTCACACACACACACACACACACACACACACACACACAAAACTGAGTTCACCCCAAGAAGTTGTTTTGTGTATTAAAAGATAATGCAAAATAATATTTGGTTTTCAACTCTTAGAGCATTTGTTATGGAGGGTAAAGTGTGGGAAATAAAAAAAAAAACAAGCCAAAGTAAAAATAATAATAACAATTAAAGAATCTCCACTATGTTTTAACACTACTTTATATCCCAATTTAATACTATTATATACCACTTTTAAACATACAAATAGCTTATGCCAGGCCCTGCCCATAGTCCCCAGGCTCCTTAAGATGCTTCTATATCTCAAACATGAAGAACTGTTTAAATTCGGGGATAGTTCAAGGATAACCAGAGATCCAATTAAAGTAACTGAAAGGAATCACACACATGCAACTCCGTTTCTAGACTCCCATACCTGTCTCAATTTCACAGACAACCGGAGAGGCCAGGCCCACCCCCTAGAAAGCCTTTCTGATTCCTGCCTCTGACCCTCGAGGAAAATGAGTTCCCTTCCCTCTGATTACATTTTTTGTTCATCCAAATAAAATTTAAAGACCTTAGTTAGCTGAGATTTCCCTACTGCCTAATTTACGTAAATGAAAAAGAAACTGATAAAATGTTTAGATCATGCTCTGTCAACACACAAAACGTGAGGAAACAGGCACAGGCTAAACAATCCTGGCCAGCCCTCCCTGCACTGCTGCAGAAGCTGCCCTGGGCCAGCAACACCATCGCCTGGTACCTTCACAATCGCCCGGGGGCCTCACAGTGAAACTGAGTCGCTAGTGCCGATTACATTAAAGGAAAACCCAACTTTTTGCAGAGGGTATGCATTTTTAAGACAGGTGTGAATTTCGCCCTCACTCTCACTGCTCTTCAGCACAGCACGGGCAGTGATACTCTGAGGGGATACACCTAACCTAGGGCATGACAACAAAACCTCTGTCACCACAAAATAAATAATTTTAGTCACTTCTGAATGTTTGGGAAGCCATTTAAAAATTACGAACAATGACAAAAACATGTTGGCCAGGTGTGCTGGCTCATACCTGTAATCCTAGCACTTTGAGAGGCCAAGGCAGGTGGATCACCTGAGGTCAGGAGTTCGACACCAGCCTGGCCAACATGGTGAAACCCCGTCTCTACTCAAAAAACAAAAATTAGCCTGGGAGGCAGAGGTTGCAGTGAACCAAGATCACGCCACTGCACTCCAGCTTGGGCGACAGAGTGAGACTGTCTCCAACAAAAAAAGTTGTCTTTCCATCTTGATGCTTCATAAGAACCTTGCTAATCTGCCAGAAAGAGGCAAAGAGAAGATAAAACAGCAGATGCAGGAGAGGAGAGCACCATCCTGAGGAGCAAGAAGCACTGCCCTCTTCCTAATCTGCCAAGGTCCAAACCCCATGACTCCCGTGCTGAAGGCTGCCAACCCTTGCCGGCGCCTGGCCAGGATGCAGGAGCCTTAGCCCTGGGCTGCACAGATAGGGGTGGCTCTGCCAGGCCGTCCCCTCCATCATGGCTCAATGCCCTTCCTCCTTCTGATCCACCTGGTTTTGAACTCAATTAAAACATTTCCTACTCTATAAAGGCTTCCTGATTCCTCCCACCAATGCCCAGGAAATCAAATCCCTCTTCTTCAGTAGCCCCGGGTACTCTTCTGGAAGCTCTTTTATGGGAGACTGTATTATTTTATAGTTTCTTATTAAAATGTCTGTCTCTCCCACAAACGTGCTAGGCCCTTGAAAGCAGAGACCATGGATCAGCTGTGTTCATCTGGCACATAGTAGGTACTCCAAAATGTTTGGTGGGGGACGAATGGATGAACAGGTGGGTGGATGAGAAGGTGATAAAGCACAGTTACCCCAAGCAGGGGAGTTATGAGGTGCAAAAGACAGGATCGGTCTCTGCCTACACACAGGGAGGGGGCAGGAATGGGAAGATAACCACAAGCCACAGCTCCCCTTGTGGGCTTCCCAAGTCAAAGGAGGGTGGTGAATAAGAGGCTCGGTGCGTCTTTACCCAAGGATGCCAACAGCTCGTAGTTCATCCGCATCACGTCTCTGTACAGCTCCTTCTGCCGCTTGTCTAGCATGCCCCACTCCTCCCGGGTGAAATACACTGCCACATCCTCGAACACCACCGGCAGCTCCTCAAACACCACAGGAACCTCCTCCGACAGCCCCTCTGCAGAAGGGTCCTGGAACAAAGAGCAGCGGCCACTCAGCACCGCCTGCCGAGCCAGACTCCCACGTGACACTTCTGGGGCCTTTGGAAGCCCTATTTCTCCTGGGAAGCTCACCAAGAGGCCCAGATGCACTCAGAGGAATTAATTTATCCACTGAAAGTCAAAGAATCAAATTCAGGAGGCCAGAATTAGTAGGTAAAAGCCAAGTGAGACTTGGTCAGATCCTAGGATCTCCTGGGCGGAAATGAAAGCGTGTGGAAAGAACAGGCAGCTGGGCAGAGCCTCTCACTGCATGCTGTCCTCAGAGTCCTGAGAGCTGCCTCCTGGTCACCTACAACTAAAAGGTGACTGTGTGCCTCTAGGAGCACCTAAGATTTCCCAATGGGATGGGAACAAAGAGGTGGTCAAAAAAGCTAAAGATGCTTATGACCAGTGACTGGTTTACACACGCCTCACTGCTGAATTCAGATGATAAAAGGTTACATCGGTTCATTAGCTTCTAATACTAAAAAATATCAGGAACAGGAAAAGAAATGAGCTATGCTGTTTTTCTGGATTTTGGAAAAATGAGAGTTTACGAAGTTGAACTGGATTCCTTATGATGTCAGCTCTAGGAGGAACCTCCGAGCTATTCTCACCAGACTCCTGGAGGGGAGTTAAAAATGATTTGTTGTAAAATTCTACTTCTATGCAATAGGTGAGAAATGGGGAAGCTTCCAATGAACGTAGTTTCCTTACAGGACAACTTTCCAAAGCATTCGGTAACTACAAAGGAAACCTAAGGTGGGCGCTAGAGTACTTTAGTGCCCAGCAGTGCTGCGGGGAGTGGAAGGAAAGCATGGGCTGGCAGCTCAGGACTCTGGGCAGATTCTGGCACTGACTACAAGAGCTCTAGGACCCTGGACATGTCACTTCCTCCAAAGTCTGTGTTCTTCCAACAAGATGAGTTTAATAGCACCTGCTCTACCGGCCTCACAGCAACATCAGAAACATTACATCAAACAACATGTGTGAAAAAACTGCAATGTTTACAAGTGCAACATGACTCCAAACTTAAAATTTAAAAAATACTAGCCAGGAGTGGTAGATCATACCTGTAATCCTAGCATTTTGGGAGGATGAGGTAGGAGGACTGGTTGAGTCCAGGAGTTCAAGACCAGCCTGGGCAATATAGTGAGATTCCCATCTCTACGAAAAATAAAAAATTATCCAGGTGTGGGGGCACACACCTGTGGTCCCAGCTACTTGGGAGGCTGAGTGGGAAGGATTGCTTGAGCCTTGGAGGTAAAGGCTGCAGTGAGCTATGATCACACCACAGTCCAGCCTGGGTGACAGGGCCATACCCTGTCTCTTAAACAAAACAAATTTAAATATTGACTACTTAAGAGCTCTGTGATTTTGTGGTTGTAGGCTATTTCTTGAGATCTGTGTTTATTTTGGATTCTGAATAAAGATGATTGTTTCCTTTATACCAGAAGTAGAAATGTTCTATCTCACTAATTACGTTATTTGCAAAAAGGAGATGATAATAGGGTTGTTGTCCAAATTAAATGAGATAATACATGGAACGCGTCTAAAACAATGCCTAGTCCATGATAAGCATGTTGGTATATGCCAACATTATGATGTTAGCAGTGGGTTATCACTAGTATTCTTTTTTCCATCATCAGCATGGATATACATCGTTCTCAGTATAGAATCCTTCTCTGTAAGATACAGCAATCATTATAAACGTATTACCTGAATGCAGGATTCTACTGCATCATTATATAAAATATTAATGTCTGAGGAGCTGTGGATGCCATCAGTGATTTCTTTTTGCCTCAAATCTGAAATGCAGTCTAGATACATTGCAGGAATTGCTCCATCCCCCCCAGGGTCCTCTAGTTCAGCTCTTGAACTTGGCAGGAGCTCAGCCATGCTATCAAATCCTCCCAGAGGCCCTGGGGGGTAGAATATGGGGCAATCTGCAGTGAAGAGCGGCTCCGGGCTGGCCAGAACATCTCCAGGTGGGTCTCTGATGCTCCGGAACCGGGCTGCCCAGATGGGGTCCCTCGCTGCCAAGGCATTGACACAGAACATGTGGGCCTTGCTCTTCGCGTGGTATTTGAGAGTCTCCACCTTGAATGGTCCTGTATAACCTTCTATTAGTCTTGACCGTTTGTCCCTGATGGAGGGGTATTCTCGGCAAGCAGAGCAGAACAGAGCCGTCTGCTCCTCATTCATGATCAGCCACGGAAACTGCACAAACCACGACTTCTGGATGGACCGGGGCTTCAGAAGTTTCCTGTTTCTTCCGGCCCAGTCTCCCTCGATGTGTCCACTGCCTGTACTGAGGTGGGAAAGGTAGGCTTTCTTCTGAGGCGGGAGGGACTGTCCACTCTCCCTGGTGGGACCTTGCACCTCCATTTCTCCCATGTAGCCCATCTGTTTTTTTCCTTTAGAGAAGAGACAGAAGGGATTGGCTTTAAAATCCTATAGTTAGAGCCACTGCAACTCACAGGGGCTCTGAGGTACACCAAATATGAAAGACGGAAAGCACACACACACACACACACACACACACACACACACACACACCTGAATTTTCTTCTAGTCCTGGCCAAGTCTGCAGGCCCTTCCCTCACCTATCCAGAATAAAGCCAAAGGGATGGGCTTTACGGAACCCTCCCCCTCCTTTTTGTTTTTTGAATTTAAAGGACAGATACAACCGGCCAAAAGGAAGTCTTTGCAATCTGATCTATGAAACGTACAATCTTCAGGAGTCAAAATTTATTTATGGATAAGAACACTGACATAATAGAATATAGGATTTAAAAAAGATCACTAAAGCCACACACCGCAACTCCAGGGGAAGAAAGCTACCTATCTCCTGGGCAGGCAGTTTTGGTCCCCAGGTAGTTTTCCTTAAGCTGTAATCTATCTTCGAATACTTCTACCTCAAAGTACTGGATGCTGACCCAGTTCTCAAGAGAAACTCAAGTCTAATTCCTCTCTTATAACATAAACCTTCGAACAGATGAGGACTCTCATGACCTCACATCTTTCTTCTTCAAGCTGAACTAGAAGTTTCTTTATTCACTTAGATGAAATGCAACTCAAAAGACTCTAACTCCTGTGGAACCACTTCTTATGTACCAACATAAGTTCCAATGCCCAGTGGCTGAGGACGCAACATTTTTGTGCCAGGCCAACAGACTGGTCTACAACACTGTAAGGGCATGAAGCTGTTAGTAAGAGTCAGAAGGCTCAAAATAAGAGCCAAGCAAGGGGAAATGAAACAAATTTGTCTCTATGATACTTTCCAGAGTCACAAAGCTGTCTAGAGCTCTTTGTGGTCTGAGAGAAATCACAAGGGAAAACAAACTTCTGTGATTTGATTCATACAGGATCTTGTTCCCCACCTCCCTCTTCTCCCACAGTAGGGGCTGGGTTAACGCAGTTATTTTACGTAATGCCAAGATGTCATCTGGCCTGGCTAAGCCAACCCCTGAACAGGAGGGTCTTATCAAAAGAGGAAAGAAAAGATAAATCCCTAGAACTTAGCAGACAGCTGTTCATTCATTCATTCATTCATTCAGTGATTATCTACTGTGCAACAGCTGGGTGCCAGGTATTGTTCTAAGCACTAGAAATATGGTTGTAAATAAGACAAAGTCATGCCTTCATGGAACTTATAATAATTATAAATAAACATATTCTCCTGGGTAGAAATAAGACAATGGGAGATGAGAGGTTGGAGAAGGACATTAGGGGCAGTGTGTATATTTAGGTATTAATCAGATGGCACCTGGGAGGAGAACAGCAGTGTCAGTTGGTGGAGAACAGGAAGGGCAGAGGATGAGCCTGGAGTCCTGGGGCTGCCCATGCTCCCTCTCCAGCCAAGCATCTGCCCCTGAGTGCAGTTCCACACTCACCTGGGTGATGCTCCAGAAGGCTCCTCTGGCCCTGGACGCTGCCAAGCCATGGCTCTGGCCCTCGTCCGAACTTGCGGAACAGCTCAGGATTGGCAACAGTTGGTCCTGAGTCCAAAAAAAAAAAAGAGAGCGAGAGAGAGAGAAAAGCACTATGAAGACCTGGCTCCGGGTCACAACACGAAGGAGGTATCTGTCTGCGACATCTCTCGGCATGGTGAGATAAGGGGCCAAGGAGGAAAGTAGGAGTCTTGGTGGTTCAGCACAGTGGTTCAGTGGTTTAGAAACTCTTATCTGTGAGGCCCCTAATAGAATAGGAGACTAGGAGAAAGGAATGAGGGCACAAGGAGGCTAAACAGGTATACAAACTATGGGTCAGAAACCCAAATACTGAGAGGGGCCAGCCTGGTAATATAACAGAAGAAACCAGGCCAAGTGCAGGGGCTGTGGCAACCTGCAAGACGTAAGGGAACAGCAGCTACTCAGCTGCAGAAGGGCTGCCACTCAGGATGCAGGCTCAGCCCTGCCACACCATCCCGTTTGTCAAGAGATGCCAGAAATCCATATTCTTATGTGAAAACTCCTAATAACTAAATATTGGCAATTTACTTAATATTTTTAAGAAGCCAAACAAAAGAAATGAAAGCCAAAAAACAAAGCAAAACAAAACTCCAAGCAGTGAGCCATATCTGGCCCATGAGCTGCTATTTTGCAACTTCTTGTTTGGAAGAATCAGTGGTTTTCAAACTCTTTTAGCCGGCACAGGAAGACTCACCCCAGCTGCAATCCTTCCACCCATAAAATGCTGATTGTTGCTTCTACCGTGCCTTACACAGGGGCCAAGATGAAATAAGAAAAGACAGGCATGGTAGACAGTCATCAACTTGCAATCAGCAAACAGTGCATATGTGTACACACATGTTGAAATACAACCAACCACCTCTGTCCTTCGCACAGAAAGTCTACCCAAAGAATCAAAGGAAAGAGCATTCAAAAATAGATGAGATGAAAATACCTACACTTGTGCAAACTCTTAAACTGTTTTATCTCACTCATCTCTAAGACGATGGAAATTCAGGCTTAAAAAGGCCAAGGGCATTCAAGTATCCAGTGGAGAGCTGGGATTGAGACCAGATTTCCACATCACAAATGTGATGCTCTTGCCACCACTGCTTCCTACCTCCAGTGTCCTACGGGCTCCACAGATCCACAGGCCTAGTTTCCGAGTTTCCCTCCCGGCCCCTTGGGGCATTCTGAGGCACCAGGAGACAGACCCAGGAGTCTAGCCCAGGCCTGCCAGATTGCCCCACTTCTCTTGACCATTTTAAGGGGAGAAGAGAAAGGGTGATGTGTGAATTTGCATGCAATTAAGGTAGATACGGGATCGAGCAGACAGGTGGAGTAAAGATGCCTAGACAAATGCTTGGATTCCAGAAAACTCTCTCCAGTGTTCCTGACGCAGATGAGGTTGGGAATGCCGATCTAAATTGACAGTGGCAGGGATGTGGATGGGCACCCATACCCAGTGGTGCCACCAGCTTGTTGGAACCACAGAGCTCCTTCTGTTGCTGGCTCAGCAGCACCCATTCCTCCTGGAGTAAGTACACAGTGATGTCATCAAACGTCACAGGAGCCTGAAAGGAAAATGACAGCTGCTAAGTACCACTCTCTTCCTTAGATTTATCTTCCAAAAGTGTTCCTGACCACCTGAGGGCACCCTACACGGGGAGGGGTGTTGTCAATTTACATGCATGGCCCACACCCCATCTCTCCCCACCTGGGTACAGATCACAGTGACAACGAGACTCGTTTCTTCTGGGAAGTGCCACGCACTGAAATGAAACTGAGCCATGAAGGAGGCTGGCTCAGGAGCTTCTCCGTCCCCTCCCTGTGTGCTCTTCACCCGCCTCCCACACGCCCGTTTCTTCTCAGCCAGGGGCTGGGCAACAACTTAGGGCACATTCTTTCATGGAACCTTAAACATGGTAAACCTTCGCTTAGGAAGATGTGTCTAATTTCTAGAAATAGCTGAAAGTCATTTAGAACTATGTCTGTGAATGAAGTCGATGATGAAAACAGGCAATGCTTTGGGGCTGAGATCTACATCCCGTGTGGCTTGTAAAGGGGCTCTGAGGGGTAGGGAGTTCAGAAAGTGTTTGGAGGAGTTCCAGATTAAGATGGCAGATTAAACAAGCCCATTTAATTTTGTTTATTCCCCGTGAATTTAAAAGACCCCCTCCCCAAAACAAAACCCCCACTATAATAGGGGGCGCAACAAGGAGATGACAGCAATACACTCTTGAAAACCAAGAAGCAGATGCAAAAGCAGTCACTTC
This sequence comes from Homo sapiens, assembly GCF_000001405.40. Lineage (NCBI taxonomy): Eukaryota > Metazoa > Chordata > Mammalia > Primates > Hominidae > Homo > Homo sapiens. Next base: position 149,843,922 of record NC_000007.14, on the reverse strand, counting down.
AGCAGATCCAAGAAAATCAAACCCTCACCCGGCAGCGGGCAAAGCGGAGAACCACCCAAGGTACACTCTGCATCCTCAAAGGCTTGGCATCTTCCAGCACCGGAAACCTCCAGCATGGGAGGGCGGGCAGGCAGCCCAATGGAACAAGAACTAGGGGAGGGCTGTGCCCCAACAAATGCCTCCCCAGGTTCCTTTACATGAGGCTCCAGCTGATAAGCCCGTCCTCCCTCGCACAAGCACAGAGCTATTACATTTTCGGTCTTCCACCACTAAATGTCAGCAGACTGGACTACCAGACACTCGGGGAAAGGATCTAACAGGGACTATAGAGACCAAAATAGATGGGAGGTGTTGGGGTTTGGGGGGCAGGTTGCTAAGAAAATGGAGGGAAGGCATGGAGAAAAAAACTTAAAAAAAACTATCATCAAGCTACACCATCAAAGAGGTTTAAGGTACCACAGCCACGCAACAAAGTGTTATAAAAGAAATCAACAGAAAAAGAAGTAGAAATGTTTATCATTTTAAGTTTTGTGCCATGAAAACATTACCTAGTTAAAGAAATTTTAAAAAGAAATAAATCAAATTATCAACAAAAAACAAACTTCTCACTCCAAAGAAAAATAACATTGGGAAATAACAGCATGCCATTTAAAATAGGTGGAATATCGATTTTAACCTCAACAGTAGACATTTCTTGAGGAAAATGATATCAATCATTCTTACCGGTCACTATTATAATAGATTTTTCTCATGTTGACTGCAGAAAATTTGGACAATAGAAATAAGCAGAAAAAAATGTATTAAGATCACCTACATTCCCTTTATTGAAAAATAATTACTTTTCATTACCCTTCTTTCCTGAGAATCTGTTAACATTTGGTATATAACCTCCCAGTCTTTAGTCTATGAATATGTATGAACAGTTTTAAAAACAAAAATGGAATTGTACTGCCAAATGTGTACATTTAAATAACTGTTTGCTCGAGTGGCTTCCAAAGCAAAATGAAATATTTCCAAAAACCGATTGGAAGACAAGCTCCACTCAAAGAAAGTGGTCAAACAGGAGTCACCATGAGATACAACCTAGGGACAGCCAACGTGGGGAAGCATTGAAGACAACCCCAAGATTAGGCTGAAGGCAGATTCAGGATGACTGCTGTATCCCAGGACGGGAGGGCAGCCTGTCCAGATTGGGGCAGGTTAAAACACTTGTGATTCAGGACAGCCAGGATCCCTCTTCATGCCCATCCTTCCCGGGCATGCACAGGTGAGCATAAGGGCCAAGGAGCCCATCACGTTAGCTCCACCTGAGGAGGAACATGGCTAGGACTGTCCATTTGGATAATAGTGTCTTCCTAACAAGAGTGATAACACTAACACCTGGTATCTCTCTTAAGCAATATTATAGCAAGAGCCTTCTGATTCCAGGTGACTGCAATGTAAAGAAAACACAAATCTGCGTGAATAAGAGGAGCTCCTCACCTATGTGTAATGCAAAGAATCTCTCTCGATGTTCTATTTTAGCGGTTCCCAGTCACTCTCTACAAGGTAAAGCTGTCTGACTTCTCAGTCTAGCACCAAAGTCCCCTCAGTCTGAATCTAACCCACTTTCTAACTTTAGCTCTGTGCATTGCCTCGCTTGGAATGTCTCCTCCAGCCAGATTCATATCATTTTAATCACCCAGCCTATCTCGCACCTTTCCTCTCTCTACATTCCCAGTCTTTAGATCCTGACTGCACACTTCCTCCCACCAACTTAGAATCTACCCACCCATAAAGTCGCGATTCACGTTCTCTTTCAGGAAGGATTTCCTAACCACCTGGCCCAAGCATTTATCCTTCTCCTGAGCAAGGAAGGCTTTATATCCCCCCTGGAGTCCAGTGTTAAGGAAATCTATGCTGCTTGATTTTATAACTTCCTTCATCAACACCACCCTTCCCCCCACAACCATGCTATATGGAAAGTATTTTATAGGCATTTAATTCATTTTTTCATTCAACACACATTTATTACTTAAGTGTTTCTATGTGCTTGATGCATGGTAATTCAAAGATATGAGATTAAAATCTATCAGGAGGTGGCAGACAACTAAGATATAAGTGCAATAATAGAACCATGTTCAGAAAAAAATGAGAAAGGAGTATCAGTCACTTGTACAGGAAAGATAGAGAGGGCCAAGAAACAGAAACGTTGAGGCAACAAATACATACAGCAACAAGTACACATATAGACTTCTCTTTCGGGGCACCAACAGCACAGTCTCCTAGGAGGCACATGAGGTGGCGGGCTGCAGTGTTCTTCAGAGCACCCACACCTTGCAGCAAAAGGGCTCCTGTAGTGATGCTATTTTATGAGCATTCCTTCCTGAGACCCTATTAAATGCCAGGAACTGCTCCACTGTTCTAGCTGGGGATGTAAGAGTCAAGTCAACAAATACGTAAATAAATAAATGAACATGAGAATTTTATTTAGTGATAAGGGTTAGGAAGAAAATAAAACAGGATCATGGGATAGAACATGATGGGGAAAAGTCTGACCCTTATCCATTATTCTGTCAATGACAGGCAAGATGTCCTACATTCAATGTGGGATATCAATCCAATGGCCCAAGATGGCTGTCAGTTAATAAAGACCACAAAACAGCACCCAAGGAAGAGTCTAGTAATAGACCAAACCACTATCTCACGAGGTAGTCTCCCAGTTCTGAGCCATAAGAATGCTGTTCGGAGTGGAGTTGTAGAACAGCACCGCTATTCCTTGTCACTCATTTGCAACACATCTTACACTGACAGTTGGTTTTGTAATTACTTTATTTCATTCTTGTATGAAGTTCTCATTTCCCATATTAGAAAACAACTATCTTTGGGAAGGGTGAGCACCTTTCTGAGATACCCTAAAATCAAGATTATAATCAAGGGTGAAATTTCCAGTCTCTGAGGTTTCACTTAGTGGTTGGACAGGACACGGAATCAGGTTTCTCCTCTACCTCCCAAAATGTTTGTACAGTCATGTGTTGCTTAACAACAGGGATAAGTTCTAGGAAATGTGTCCTTAGGCAGTTCTGTCATTGTGGAACATCACAGAGTGTACTTATACAAAACTACATGGTACAGCCTACTACATATCTAGGCTATATGGTATATAGCCTTTTGCCCCCTAGGCTACAATCCTACACAGTATGTTACTGTACTGAAAACTGTAGGCCACTGTAACACATGGTAAGTATTTGCGTATCTAAACATAGAAAAGGTACAGTAAGAATATGGTAGAAAAGACAAAAAAAAAAAAAAGGTCCATCTGTATTGGGCACTTACCATGAATGGAGCTTGCAGGACTGGAAGTTGCTCTGGGTGAGTGAGTGAGTGAGTGAGTGAGTGGTGAGAGAATGTGAAGGCCTAGGACATGACTGAACACTTCTGTAGACTTTATAAACACTGCACACTAAGGCTACGCCGAATTTATCAAAAATTTTTCTTTCTTCAATAATAAATTAACCCTAGCTTATTGTAACTGTTTTACTTTATAAACTTAATTTTTTAAACTTTTGACTCTTTTGTAATAACACTTAGCTTAACACACATTGTACACCTGTACAATATTTTTCTTTAAATATTTTTGTATTTTTATTTTCCAGCAAACCATTCCATCAACAAAAAGTATTTTTCTTTATATTCTAATTCTATGAGGTTTTGTATTTTTAAATTTTTTTTTTTTTTTTTTTTTTTTTTTTTTTTACTTTTTAAGCTTTCTTAAAACCTAAGACACAAACACACACATTAGCCTAAGCCTACACAGGGTCAGGATCATGAAGATGTCACCAGGTGATAGGAATTTCTCAGCCCCACTGTAGTCTCAGGGGATTGTACGTGAGAGCGGTGTTGATGGAAACCTTGTTATACAGCGCATGACCGTATTTCTCTTCTCCCGTTAAAGGCTAAGAAAGCCTCTGACTGAACAGAATAGCTTGGAAATCAACTTCAAATCACTGATACCAATATCAATCCCAATATTTTATAATCCTTCTTCCCCCTACATTTTGCTTCTCTTTATTCAAATTCAGGTTCAATCTAAACCAATCTGGGGATATTTCCAAAGGGTAAGGGCCATAAGCTCCATCTTTGCTTGGGTTTTGTTGAGCTTTATTGGCTTGGACCACGTACTCTGTAGGTGCCGTGTCTGCTACATGCATCACTGTAGCTTGTGGAGGGAGGGAGGATGGAAGAGATGCTCATGCGAGAAATCACCTCTTTTGAAATTCAGAGTCCTTCCTAGTCTTCCCAGGAAAAACTACAGCATCAAAAGAACCTCATTATCCTTTTCTCTCTTTTCGTGTGGGACAACCCTTTCAGGCGTGTCCAAGTTATTGAAGTGAAAACTGCAGGAGAGCTCCTTGAGAAAGGTGATCATTTCCTATTTATCCTCATACTTCCAGCATCTCGTTCAATGCAAATCACAGATCACAAATGTTTATTAAATGGACAGTTTTTTAAGGGACTCAATAAACAGTCGAAAACGTTTGTTGAGAGAATTCTCCTCTGTGCCAAATAAGAAACAATACTCAAGAACTGGCAGCAAACAACATCCAGAAAGATGTTAGTCCCAAGAGGCTGCCACTGTCTCCAAGCTAATGTGCCCACAACCACACTGGTCTTGGATGACACGGCCTGGAAGCGCTGGCAATCCCGTCAAATCCCTGAACTCCGCCCCCAAGCACTTTCTTTCCACCTTTTCTTCCAACTCAAAGCCTCTTGCCCAAAGCCAATTTATGACACAGGTTTCTAAGCAATGCCCAGATATTCCATGAAGTACATAACCTAGAAACAGAAGTGGCAAAAAGCATGCCAGATGCCCTCTCTTTTCAGCCCTTTCTTGGTAAGGAGGATCTAGGCAGGGTCAAGCCCTCAAGCGTCCCACCCTGCAGCTCCCACTGGCGTCCGATCCAGACTCCAAGCCTTAGCAGGGCCTCTTCAAAACGCCGAAGGTGGTGGGGAAAACAGGAAGCACCTTCGCATCGCTCCACTCGGGGGTCACCCAACCCAGCATCGACCCAGCGGACGCTCGGCAGCTCGGGGAGGATGCGCGGACACCGAACGGAAGCGTCCGCTCCTCTCCGCCACCCTCCCGGGGTCGGGCGCCGAAGTGCGGGAAGAGAGGGCGGGCCGGCGAGTCCTTCCCTGCAAGCCTGGCTCATCTGCGGGGCCTCCGCCCGAGCCGCCCCGCCTCGCCCGAGCCCGGCTCGGGGATCCTCGGGAGGGAGCGGGCGGCCCCCGGGCCTTCCAGTCCTACCTTCCCCGACTCTCTGGGCTCCATGGCCCCGCTTTCGGAGGCCCGTGCCGCCCCCTCCCCCCGCGGCCTGGCCTGAGGATGCAGCCGCCGCGACCGCCCCGGGGACCCAGGCTCCCGGAGGGGGAGGGCACCCAGGTAGGGAGGGAGCGCGGCCCAAGAACTTCGCTCTCTCACGTCGGGGGGCGGTAGCGCCGGTGGACCCAGGATAAGCGCGCTGAGCTGAGACTTGCGTCGCACCGAGCGAACAGCTTTACGGTCACTGCCCAGCCCCAGGCGGCGGGGCGTGACGGGAAGTGTAGTCCGCTCTAGGTGAGCGGCTCTCGAAGCTGCTATTGGCTCCCGGAACGCAGGTCCTGATTGGACGCCGGCGGCGCGCTTGCGACCCTCCCCGCCTCCCTCCGGCGACAGTTACTAGGCAACGGCGGCGTGGCGTCCTTTAGTCCTCTGCAGCAAGGGCAAAGCGCTCTGATTGGGCTACGCGAAGGCCAATGTCAGCCTTGAAGTTCTAGGTTTTCTTTTATTAAGGAGGGCAATACTTTTTGTTCTATTCACTCAAAAAGTATCATTGGTTGCCTACCATGGGTCAGGCCGTGTTCTAGGGTTTGGGAGAACACAGTTGAATGAGACAAAGGCCTTGCCTTCAAGGAACTCACGATCTATTAGGGAATCAGACCAGAAACAGATAATTACAAAACAGAGACAAGGGCTATGAAAGAGGTAAGCACAAAACATGAATTAAAGCCCGCGTTGTCACCTTAGAGTGAAGCGGTGGGGGATATGAGGTGCTTAGTCAAGGATTTCCTGCGGAAGTGATGCCTCAGCAGAATTAAAGCAAGAGGTAGGGTCTGCCAGGTAAAGGAGGTGCAATGGACTGACCGGTGTTCCCCTCCCAGGAGATGGGGCGTTTGGGAGGTTTAGATGAAGTCGTGAGGGTCAGGCCCTTATGGTGGGATTAGTGTCCTTATAAGAAGTTTTGTCCAAGTGCGGTGGCTCACACCTCTAATCCCAACTCTTTGGGAGGCTGAGACAGGAGGATCACTTGAGCCCAGTAGTTTGAGACCAGCCTGTGCAACACAGTGAGAGATCCCATCTCTATAAAAATAAAATAATTTTGTGAGGTGGAAGGATCACTTGAGCCTGGGTGGTCGAGGCTGCAGTAAGCCGGGATGGCGCTTCTGCACTCCAGCCTGGGTGACAGAGCAAGACCATGTCTCAAAAAAAAAAAAGACTTTTAGGGGGCCAGGGCAGGGATGTGCCTTCATGAAGGTGTTAGTGACCACATGCGTGCTGGGGGAACTAGCTAGGCCCTTTGCCCTTCTGCCCCTCTGCCTTCTGCCATGTGAGGACAGAGCAAAAAGGTGCCCTCCTGGAAGCAGAGACCAGGCTCTCACCAGACACAGACACTGCTGGTGCTTTGATCTTGGATTTCCCAGCCTCCAGAATCATAAGAAATAAGTATCCATAATTTATAAATTACCTAGTTCCAGGGATTTTGTTACAGAAGCACATAGAGATTAAGACAATGGTCAACTAATTTTTTTGTATTTTTAGTAGAGACAGGGTTTCACCATGTTACACAGGCTTCAAGTAAGCGTTTTCCATTATCCAGCTCTGCTCTTCTGGCCAAGGTTGAATAGACCTAAATTCCGTTCGAGGAGTGTAGGGGAGTCTGCATTACTGAAAAAAAGAATGAGACACAAGAAATGTGGAGGAGAAGGCAGAGAGTGAGGACTCTGTGGATTCCAAGTGGCCTGCCACTCACCACCTCGACTATATCACTACCTTGAAGAGCTATATTTCTGCCCATGAGTTATCCATGTCTTTATAACAGATTCTCTTTTAGGGGTTAAAAAACTGGAGGACAGCTAGGGTAAATCATTCTTTTGACACATTTTTCCATAAAAGGTTTTCCATCTTTCCAAGAAAAATGGAGCAGTATCTAGGGGGAAATGGGGAATCAAAGCAGTAGGACTAAGATATGAGTCACAAGATCTTGTTTCTGTGTTGATGGGAAGGAAACTGATGATTCAAAGGGGGATAGTGCAAGGAACCAAGTCCTTGAGAAATCAGGAGGGTCTAGGAACAGGGTATCGAGGGCCCTTCCTAGGGATAGGAACACTTTTTTTTTTTTTTTTTTTTTTGAGATGGAGTCTCTCTCTGTCACCCAGGCTGGAGTGCAGTGGCTCAATCTTGGCTCACTGCAACCTCCACCTCCCAGGTTCAAACAATTCCCCTGTGTCAGCCTCCTGAGTAGCTGGGACTACAGGCGTGCACCATCACACCCTGCTAATTTTTGTATTTTTAGTAGAGACAGGATTTCACCATGTTGGCCAGGCTGGTCTCGAACTCCTGACCTCAAGTGATTCACCTGCATTGGCCTCCCAAAGTGCTGGGATTACAAGCCTGAACCACCGCGTCTGGCCGGGATAGCAACACTTTTGGTTATGCCAGGAGGGAAGAAGAAGATGGAGTAGATGTACATTTGTTTGTAGATTTACTGAGGGAATTTCCATCCGATGATGTCTCTTTGAGACAAGATCATCTCATGAAAATGAAGTGGGGAATAGAAGGTATACCAAGTCATCTTGGAGAATGGGAAATAGAGCTTACCTCAAACCTTGAATTAAAGGCCAATTTGAAGTTTATGATCACAAATTTCAGTTTAAAAAAAGCCTGGCTGCGAAATTCTGTTTAGAAGCAGAAAGTTGGGTAGATATTTGGCTTCATCCTGGCTTGGAGTATTGCCAGGTAGGTATGAAGGAGGCACAGAAAAGCAAGGGAATGAACAGTACTTGCAGGAGTAATTATGATGGTAGGAAAGTGATTCTCAATTCCAGCTGCACATTGGAATCACCCATGGACCTTTCAAACATCCTGATTTAATAGGCCTAGGATGGGGCATGGGCACTGATTTTTTTAATTTGTTTAATTTTTTTGTTTGTTTTTGTTTTTTAAGAGACAGGGTCTCACTCTGTCACCCAGACTGGAGGGCAGTTGCGTGATCTTGGCTGACTGCAGTCTTGACCTCCTGGGCTTAAGGTATCCTCCCACCTCACCCTTCCGAGTAGCTAGGACTACAGGAGTGTGCCATCACGCCTGGCTAGCTGTTTTTTTACTTTTTGTAGAGATGGGTTCTCACTATGTTGCCCAGGCTGATCTCAAACTTCCAGGCTCAAGTGATCAACCCGCCTCCCAAAGTGCTGGGATTATAGGCATGAGCCACCATGCCCAGCTGGCATTGATATTTTTTAAGAGCTCCTCATGTCATGTGCTTCTCACGTGCAGTTGGTGTTGAGAATCACTATATAGACCATGAATCTAAGCTGTGTCACGAGGGAAGATAGGAAACTAATAAAAAAGTGAGAAAGTGGTGGGTCAATGAAATTGAAATCACAAAAGCAGCCATAAATTATAGCAGTGGAGTATTAGAGCAAGTCAGCTGGAGGGATGGGAAGTCATGATTGGTAAGTAAATATTTGCGAGGTTTTGAAAATGGTCTAGTCGTGGGAGTGGATTCCCAAGACAGAGTGAAGAAGGTCATTGTAAGTGAGCAGGCAAAGAATGTGAGGCCAGAATTTTGAGTGGAGTATCCACATGGACACTGAAAATGGGTGGAAAGCAATGCTGGGCCATGAGTTAAATTCTTCTGTGGATGATAGGGAGTGACCAGGGTGGCAGGTGGGAGTCAGGGAGGGTGGTGTCACTACAGAGTGGCTCAGACAACCCGGGAAGACGGCTCTTTGCAGGAGGAACAGGGAGAACTGGCCCAACAGAAACAATAAACATGAACGTCACAGAAGACAAGTATCTCTTTTCCTGGCCTGGAGGTGGGATGACGTCTCAGCTTCCAGGTGAAGTGAAGCCTTCAAGGCATGGGCGAGCTAGTGTCAGTCATGACATGAAGGTGGAAGAAGCCTTTGGAGATGGGGACGATGGAGCAGAGTCTACGGAAGACAGATGTGGAGTCTCAGAGGCCCCAGTGGGTATCTGGGAGGGAGAGGCGGTGTGGGGGATCAGGTGAGACTGTGGGATTTACAAGAGGATGGCATGAGAGGTGGTGATGTTGAGGGACAAACGGGGAGGCTTGGTCTCCTGAGGAGGAATGGAGACCATGGAGACATGGAACAGGATGAGCTAGTCTTTTGCAGCACAGTGGGCCTCTTTTAATTTTTGTCCCCAGTACTTAGCTCAATAGTGTGCTTCTAGCTAGCTATCTCTGGCTTCACAGGGTAGGATAGGACTTTGGGGTGAATAAAACAAGGAAAGCAATTGGGAGGTGGGCAGAGTAGTGTTGTAAAAAACGAGGTTATAAAAAGGAGAGGGAGAAGCAGACATCAGCCCACATGTAGCGGACTGTCCTCCACAGCTGCAGCTGAAATCATATTGGGTGGAGGAATATGACCTGGGACACAGCGGTGTCTAATAACAGGAGGTCTTCAGGCTCCATTCAACCCTGTCCAGCTACAGATGGAACTGAGGCTCAGATATGGGAATGATTTGTCCAGGTTCACCAGTCATGGGGAATGCCATCTTGAGTCCATAGTAGATGCGCAGAGGTCTCCAGGAGACAAAGTCCTCACATGGGTCCAGGCCAGGACTCAGGCCCTCCCTCCCTCTTCCCTCGAGCCCCAGGATGGAGACGCTGCACAGGGATTTGTTGCCAGTATCACTTTATTTGGAACATGCTAATGCCAAGTCATGGGCCCCCAGTTGGGGGCAGGTGAGAGAGCGTGGAAGGACGTGGTCAGTGCTGCTGAGTCCCATGATCACAAGAGGGACAGCTGTGGACTCACCCAGCGGAGCCTGTTAGCGCTTTGAGAAGTCACCTCCTAGGGGACACGTGAGGGAGAGATGGGTTAGTAAGAGAGGCAGAGTGGTCAGGCTGGTGCCAGGAGGACGCCCAGAGCCAACACCAGGCCTTCCACTGTGCTCCACCCAGGTGGCACGGGTGCCTTCCACCTCTGTTTCCCCTTCATCTGCCACACAGTGGGACCTCAGGTTATCATATGGCAGGTGCTTAACAGAACTAGGCACCTGCCAGCCACTTCACACGCGTGCCCTCACCAAGTCCACCCAACAAGCCTGCATAGCAATGTCAGCCTTGCTTAAAAGATGAGGTCAGGGGGCTGGGTGCAGTGGTTCCTGCCTGTAACCCCAGCGCATTGGGAGGCTGAGGCAGGTGGATCACTCGAGCCCAGGAGTTCAAGAACAGCCTGGGCAACATGGCGAAACCCCGTCCCTACAGAAAAAAAAAAAAAAAAAAAAAAGGAAAAGAAAAATTAGCCCGGCATGGTGGCTCACACCTGTGACCTGTGGTCCCGGCTACTCAGGAGGCTGAGGCGGAAGGATCACCTGAGACCAGGAGTTCCAGGCTGCAGTGAGCCGAGATCACACCACTGCACTCCAGCCTGGGTGACAGAGTGAGACCCCATCACAAAAAAAAAAAAAAAAAAAGATGATGTCAGGGAGGCTGAGCAAGGAAACAAAGGAAACAGATGAGCTGGGGTTTGAACTAGGTGCAACTACCCCAGACACCCACAAGTATGCATGATAGGAGATGAAATTAACAAGAACACCGAGAAGAAGGAAAAACGTGGACTGGAAGGACTCAAGGAAGAAGGATGGAGTGAGGAGCTACACGTGTGTTCCTGGGTCTGGTTCACAACACTGGGTCCTTGCCCAGGCTCCTGCCCCGTCCCCTCCCTGCCCAGACCCACCCTGGCAGGAGCTGCACTGGCAGCTGTGGATGACCGGCAGCACCACGGGCTCTGTGTGGCCACCCAGACAGCGCAGGTTCAGGATCCGCACAGGGCTCTCCGGGTCTAGACGGTAGCTGCAGCAGTCACACTGGCTCTGCAGGTATGGCTCCTGGGCGAGAGGGAGCGGGTGAACTAGGGCCAAATGGAGTTTCCTCCCCTCCCTTGGCCTTTCCCATCTTAGGCAGGGTGGGATGGTGGGAGGGCCAGATCCCACCCTCTTCACTGAGCAGGGTGGCTGGGCCACTGCCAAGCCCCTTTTGCAAGAAGCCCACCTCCTTCACCCCCACTGTCTGAATGTCCAACAACCTACAGGTTAAACGAATACTTTTAACGTTCCCATCAGTGCCTCCTGGCTGCAGGGGGAAGGACATACTTCTACCGCAAGGGGCTTAGAGTCTAGTTGGACAGACAGAGTTATAATCTATGAAACTACAAATAAGTCAGTTCTAACTGCATAGTTCTGATCCCAAGTGCAAAGTGAGTTTTCACTCCAAAGCAGATCCCTGTGCACTGTGGTTAAAGCACCTATATCAGAGTCCTATAAGCATATCATTTAATTTTATGTATAATTCTATTTATAATTTTACTTTTAAATGGGTAGTACATTCATACAATGCCAGGTTCAAAAACTGCAAGAGGTTTTTCAGCGAAAAAATTTCCCTCCAATTTGTATCCCACTATCAATTTCTTTCCTCAGGAAAAAAAAAAAAGCATCTCTTAATTACTTTCTCTCTTTTCTCACTCTATGTTTTAAAAATTCTAAAAGTGTGAAAAAAAATTCCGAAAGTGATTTGGGAAAGTATTTCCAGGAGGTCCAGGGCGCGCCTGGGGGAGCCGTAGAGCGGCCGAGGGTTGAGGGGCTGTGTCTTTGGGGACCAGGTAGGAAAGTATCCTTGTCTTCCAGGATGAGGTAAACCAGGTAGGCTGAAGCAGAAGGGATGGCCGCAGAGTGCTGGGAGGTGGGCCTAGGGGCAGGCAGGAGTAGTGTGAGTGAAGCTGGAGAGAGGACCCTGGCAGGAGGCAGCTCAGGTTACAGCTCATCAGGCTGAGGGGAGTCAGGGTGGGCACAGAGCCCCTTGGAAGATCCTAAGAAGGATCAGGGGCTTCTGGGTCCACAGAGGGCAAACGCAGAGCGGAGCCACCTGCCCAAGACTCAGAGCCAGCCTGGCTCGGACAGCTTGCAGGAAATGTGTGCGGTGATCCTCTCTGTAGAAAGTGCATTCCGGCAGAGCTCTCATGCTCTCATGCACCGTGTGATGGGTTCTGATGTCAGAGGCTAGCTTAGCTCCTCCATGCCTTTCTTTGCTGGGCTCCTGGCTCATTGCCTTGAAGGGCACAGCGGGCACACTCTGGGAATGGTGTGGGGCCACAGAAGACCTCTGTGGGAGGGGGTCAGGCACCCAGTGAAACCTCTGGGCCAACCTGCAGGTGCACACCACTGCCTTGGGGAAAGCTCTGACCATCTGCCTCCCCAACTCCACTGTTATCTCCATCAGAAGCACCTTGTGCCTCATGGACTCTGGTTCTGCCCAGGTCCCAGGCTCAGGGCAGCCCTCGGTGGCCACTGGCCAACGTGATTCCCCTGGCCTGGACAGCAGGTCCCTGGCTCACCTCTGGCATGACATGGGTGCTGGATGGGCAGTACCCACTGCAGTAGCTCACTTCTACCTGGTCCAGGTAACAGGTCCCTTTGGTGAAGTTTCGAAGCTCCGTGAGGAGCTGGCAGGAGGGCGACTGCTCCTCTGTGGGGAGGGGCATTGAGTGGCAGGAGGTGGGGGTGGGGCACAGGAGGCAGAGGTGACTGAGGGGACTGTGGGGGTGGGGAGGCACAGGAGAACGAGGTGACAGGGGGAATGCAGGGGGAAACAGGAGGAGGAGGTGACAGAGGAGACTGTGGGGAGGGCACAGGAGAAGGAGGTGACAGAGGGGACTGTGGAGGGGAGGCATAGGAGGAGGAGGTGACTGAGGGGACTGTGGGAGGACACAGGAGGAGGGGATGACTGAGGGGACTGTGGAGGGGAGGCACAGGAGGAGGAGGTGACAGAGGAGACTGTGGAAGGACACAGGAGGAGGTGACTGAGGGGACTGTGGAGGGGAGGCACAGGAGAAGGAGGTGACTGAGGGGACTGTGGGGGACGGCACAGGAGGAGGAGGTGACTGAGGGGACTGTGGGAGGACACAGGAGGAGGGGATGACTGAGGGGACTGTTGTGGGAGGACACAGGAGGAGGAGGTGACTGAGGGGACTGTGGAGGGGAGGCACAGGAGGAGGAGGGGACTGGGGACTGTGGGGGGGACAGAGGAGGAGGGGACTGTGGAGGGGACACAGGAGGAGGGGATGACTGAGGGGACTGTTGTGGGAGGACACAGGAGGAGGAGATGACTGAGAGGACTGTGGAGGAGGACACAGGAGGAGGGGATGACTGAGGGGACTGTTGTGGAGGGCACAGGAGGAGGAGGTGACTGAGGGGACTGTGGGGGGGGACAGAGGAGGAGGTGACTGAGGGGACTGTGCGGGAAGGCACAGGAGGAGGAGGTGACTAAGGGGACTGTGGAGGGGACACAGGAGGAGGGGATGACTGAGGAGACTGTGGGAGGACACAGGAGGAGGGGACTGAGGGGACTGTGGGAGGACACAGGAGGAGGAGGGGACTGAGGGGACTGTGGAGGGGACACAGGAGGAGGGGATGACTGAGGGGACTGTGGAGGGGACACAGGAGGAGGGGATGACTGAGGAGACTGTGGGAGGACACAGGAGGAGGGGACTGAGGGGACTGTGGGAGGACATAGGAGGTGGAGGGGACTGAGGGGACTGTGGAGGGGACACAGGTGGAGGGGATGATGGAGGGGACTGTGGGGGACAGCACAGGAGGAGGAGGGGACTGAGGGGACTGTGGGGGGACAGAGGAGGAGGTGACTGAGGGGACTGTGCGGGAAGGCACAGGAGGAGGAGGTGACTGAGGGGACTGTGCGGGGGGACAGAGGAGGAGGTGACTGAGGGGACTGTGGGGGGGACACAGGAGGAGGGGATGATGGAGGGGACTGTGGGGGAGGGCACAGGAGGAGGAGGTGACTGAGGGGACTGTGGGGGGGACACAGGAGGAGGGGACTGAGGAGACTGTGGAGGAGGACACAGGAGGAGGGGATGACTGCGGGGACTGTGGAGGGGACACAGGAGGAGGGGATGACTGAGGGGACACAGGAGGAGGGGATGACTGAGGAGACTGTGGGAGGACACAGGAGGAGGGGACTGAGGGGACTGTGGGAGGACACAGGAGGTGGAGGGGACTGAGGGGACTGTGGAGGGGACACAGGTGGAGGGGATGATGGAGGGGACTGTGGGGGACAGCACAGGAGGAGGAGGGGACTGAGGGGACTGTGGGGGGGACAGAGGAGGAGGTGACTGAGGGGACTGTGCGGGAAGGCACAGGAGGAGGTGACTGAGGGACTGTGGAGGGGGACACAGGAGGAGGAGGGGACTAAGGGGACTGTAGAGGACACAGGAGGAGGAGATGGCAGAGGGGACTGTGGGGGGGACAGAGCACAGGAGGAGGAGGGGATGACTGAGGGGACTGTGGAGGGGACACAGGAGGAGGGGATGACTGAGGAGACTGTGGGGGGGGGGACAGAGCACAGGAGGAGGAGGGGACTGAGGGGACTGTGGGAAGAGGGGCAGGGCCTGGGTCTGAGGGAAGCGTGTGGGGCGAGGTGACCAGGCGCTATGATATGTGCTGGGGTCTTCACTCCTCAAATCCCCATGGTGGGTTGGCCTGGGGGAGTCAGGCAGCTGCCAGGCTGCAAAGGCCAGGTGTGGGGTGGCAGGGGAGAAGGGTCTAGACCAGGGAGAGGCACCCCACAATGCACCCAGGTTCCCTCCATACCCGGAGCCTCCCTGCGGCAAGAGGGACAGCAGCTCCCTGGCTCCAGCACCATCTCCTCGCCCTGCAGAGGGAGAGAGTCCCAAGGTGGTCTTGACACCTGGAGCCCGGCCCGCCCTCCCCACTCAGAGACCCTAAGACCAACCTCGGAGGAGGGTCCCAGGAAGGAGCCCGAGGAACCAGGGAGGGTGGTAGGGCTGCAGGGGGTACCGGAGCCCAGGTAAGGGGGGAACCACCCCGGAGAGTAGCAGGGATGCAGGGCGTACCTGAGCACAGGTGAGTGGGGAGCAGTGCTGGGTGCAGACAGGCCTCCCACTGAGGCAGAGGCAGCTCTCACAGGCCTCCTGCCATTCAGATCCAGGCTGGGGAGAGTAGGGGAGAGCCTCCTCTTGGTCTCTCCCAACTTGCAGATTTGTTTTGTTTTGTTTTGTTTTGTTTTGTATTGTTTTGTTTTGTTTTTTGAGACGGAGTCTCACTCTGTCGCCAGGCTGGAGTGCAGTGGCACAATCTCGGCTCACTGCAACCTCCACCTCCCCAGTTCAAGTGATTCTCCCGCCTCAGCCTCCCGAGTAGCTGGGACTACAGGCACGCACCAGCACTCTCAGCTAATGTTTGTATTTTTAGTAGAGATGGGGTTTCACCATGTTGGCCAGGATGGTCTTGATCTCTCGACCTCATGATCCGCCTACCTCAGCCTCCCAAAGTGCTGGGATTACAGGCATGAGCCACCGTGCCCGGCTCCAACTTGCAGACTTTTCTATAATAGTATCCCTGATCCCCAAGCCCAGCCTGTGAGTGCCTAGCCGGGGCAATGGGCTTGGATGGAGTCAGGCAACAAGAGACCCAGGAAGGAGATGAACTGTTGGGGCCAGAGACTGTCCCAGGGGGAGAGCGGAGCCCTGCCGGCTGCTGCAGGGCCTGGAGTAGGGGGAGGAGCCAGTGGAGTTACAGACAGATGGGGAGGCTTGGGGTCAGGAATGGGTGAGTGGTAGCAGAGGGGGTTCGGTGTCTCACCAGGTGGGGACGCCCAAGGTGCCAGCACTCGCAGTGGTCTTCGGGGACGCAGGGGCCTGCCTGGCTGCGGAAGTGCCCGGGCTGGCACACGCAGCCCGAGGCTCGAGCTGAACTGCAGTTACTCTGGGTCTTTGTGGCGTTCATCTCCAGGCACGTCTGCTCGCAGAGCCCCAGCTCCCCCGGGGCCACCTGCTGCCACGTTTCCCCAGGGGGCACTCTGCCAGGGAAGACCATCCAACCCAGCTTTCAGGTCAGCCCTGGATCCAGCCTCGATTCCTCCCCTCCCAAGCTGAGCACCCACACGTCCCCATCTTGCCTTCTCAGCCACAGCAGCCTCCAACCACACCTCCTGATCTTTCTTATCCACCCACCCAAACACTAGCTGGACCCAGGCCAGGTCTCACCTCCTCCAGAAAAGGCTCCCTGACCAATCCTGTCCACTCGGCCTCTATTCTCAGCACTGATGTCTCACCCTCTGGGGTTCTACCTGCCTGTCAGAGACCTAGAGACTGTGCCCTGTCTCTGCCTGTTCTGGGGGTGGGTGGTCTGCCCGGAGGCTGGCCATGCTGCATGTCTGCATTCACAGAGCCCAGCGTGGCAGAGCTGGGAACACGGTGGGTGGGCCCTTGGTCTTGATCAGATGGGGGTAACACTGCACCCCACAGGGCAAATGCTATCAGCCCGGGGGCTGCCAGGCCAGGCCCCTCATTTCCGCTCACCCCTCCAGACCTCAGTTTCCTCACTGGCAGGGAAAGAACCTTCCACTTCCTGGCATCACAGCCCTGGCTCTGTGTATACTGTGTGCTAGGGAATGCCCCCACAAGTGGGGCAGACCACACTGAGTGCCCAGGGAGCCCTCGGCAGGGGGTGCTGGGTCTCCAGTTAGAGAGAGGTCAGTGTGGACAGACAGGGGAGGGCTTTCTGAAGCTCTGTCTAGTCTGTGAGCAGGGCCCGTCTCTCCTCCTCAGTGCCAGTCCCGGGCCTTGACTTTGGAGGTGCAGCAGGGCATGGACAGCCACATCTCACCCTGACAGTCAACGAGGGAGCAGCTGAAGGCTCCACCGTGGCAGACACTGAGAAGACAGAAGCACACTCAGATGCCTCCCATGTCCTCCTCCCTACCCTTCCTCATCCCTGCTCCCCACCCCAGGGCCAGGCCCTCACCAGCGGGTGCAGTTCCGGGTGAGCACAGTCCCTGGGGGCAGCTCCTGGGCCTGCTCTTCCAGGGTCAGGGTGAGGCCCCAGGGCAGAGAATGCTGGGTGCAGGGGCAGGCAGTGGGAGGCACACACGTGCCATTGTGCAGCAGCTGCAGCAGGGCAGGCTCAGTGACACTCAGACCACCGCCTCTTCCCTCCCCACCTGCCGGCTTCCCCCACAGGGAGTCAGGACACAGCACCCCGTACCCACCTGCCCTCCAGGGCAGCCACAGCCAGGCTGGCAGGGCTCCTGCACACAGATGGCACCAGGCTGCAGATGCCAGCAGAGGCACGGGCATGAGGTGGCACAGGCACTAAGCACCTGGCCAGGGGGGCACTCTGTGGGGAGCACACAGGTAGGGAGATGGGAGGGACCCAGCATCTCCAGTCCCAGGGAGGGAGCTGCCCTGGGTCCGACCTCCTCTCCCCACACCTACCCCCCACAGCTGGGGCAGGGCCTGGGCTCAGCAGCAATGGAGGGAGTCAGTCACCTGCCGCCCAGGGCACTTACCAGGGCAGGGCTGCAGGTTACACTCCTGCCGTTGCTCTGTGTCCTGGGCCTGGCATGGTGCCACCCCAGGACCCCCCTCACAAGTCCGATGTCGCTCCATAGTGCCCCCACCACAGGGGGCCGAGCAACTGCTCCAGGCTGACCAAGGCCCAAGGACTGGACACTCCTGGTGTGGGCACACCAGGGACTCGTTGACACAGGTGCTGTGGACAGGGGTAAGCACAAAGGGCTCCAGTCAGGGTGAACAGAACCCTCACTCCCCAACAATGCTGACGAAGGCTGACCTGCCCCATGCCTCCACCCAAAGCTCCCTTAGCCCTGGCGTGGCTGCAGCCATACCAGTTTTGGCAGTCCAGCTGCACCGCCTGGGCCGGGGCCAGCTCCCAAGAGGCATTGGCACTGGGGAGGCCACAGCGGCAAGAGGAGATCGGCACACAGCGCCCATCCTGGACCAGCTGGCCAGGGGGACAGCGGCAGCCTAGGGGTGTGGGTAAAGAGGCGGAACAAGATTGGGTGCTCGGGCAGGGCTCACACAATGGATCCTCCCCCAGCAATCAGATCGAGTCCAAAGCCTAGTTTCCACAGTATCTCCCACTGCCCATGCACAGGAACGGGCTGCTCTAGCCTGTGTGGGCACCACCCGAGTAACCCTGACAGCCACCTGAGCATCCACATGGAACAGTGGCCCTGAGTGACCCTCACTCCTTGCAGGACTCAGAGCTGGCTGCTGAAAGTGACCACTTTCCTGCCCTGTCACTCATGACCCAGCAGTCTGAACCTCCCCCACCCCTGCCCGAGATCACACACTCTCTGGGAGCAGGAGGCAGCTGGGGGAGGCCCAGGCTTTCCTGGAACTCCCAGCTAGGTGGTGGGGCCTGCTGGCTACCTGGGCGGCAGGGTCCCTGCAGACACTGAACGCGGTCCCAGAGGTCGGCACAGCTGTGTGGGCACTGGTTGGCACAGTCCAGGGTGAATACAGTGTCTTGGGCCTCGCAGCTCTAACCTGACGACCAGATGATAGGAGTCTGTGTTGGGGACGCTCTTGGGCCCCCGCTTCCACTGCACGGCTCTGGGGCAGAGCCAACTCTCCCCTCAGGTTTGGTCTCAGATGTTCCTGTCCCAGGCTCTCCTCTGGATCGGGGATGGGAGTTACCTGGGCAGGGCCCTCCGTTGCAGCTTTCTGTCTTGAGCCCATGGCTCCCGGCAGCCTCCTCCACAGAGGGCCTCTGCCTCTCTCCAGCGTAGCCTGAACCCCCCACTGCAGGGCACCTGGCAGGGGCTCCATGGCCCCCACAGACTCCACTGGCATGAGTCTGGGGAAGGTATGATGGAGTCAGTACCCAGGCCCACCTCTTGCCTCCCCCTCAAGCCTTGAGCTCTGTCGTCGCAAACGCTCCGGCAGGCCTTAAAGCCCTCTAGGCTCTCCCGCTTCTCTTTCTAGCTGCTGCCTGGACCCCACCCCCAGCTTCAAATCCTGCAGGCCTTAGAGACAAGCAGGAGGGGTAGCAGGTCAATGTGCTCTATAGCCTAGCCCCTCCCGGCCAGGTCCCCCCAACCTGCACTCCAGGCCCGTCCTGTCCCCTGGCCTCTGCCTCTCCCCATTACCAGGGCAGGCTCCAGGGTCAGGGCAGAGGCGCTGCTGGCTGAGGGGTGCGGTGCAGAGGTGAGGGGCTCCAGTCCAGGGCCTCCCTGTCGCAGGATCCAGACAGAGCCGGTGGCGGTGCTGCTCTGAAGCCAGCAGCGGGGCCAAGGTGGGGGAGAGGCCAGTTGGGTCTCGGAGCCAGTGCTCCTCTAGGGCAGTCCTGGAGGCAGGGGCCAGGGCGCTGGGCGGCAGGCAGGGCCCACAGGGCGACCACTCGGACCACTCACTCAGAGGCAGAAGACCTGGAAGGACAGGGTGTGGGTGCCCTTCCCAGTGACCACCCCTGGGCCCAGAGACCCTGGTGGACAGGCAGGAGGGGCTCAGGGTCATGACCAGGAAGTGCTGGAAACAGAAAGGCTGAGGGTGGTGTGGGGGCAGGGTAAGGTGACCCACCATCCCAGTTTGCCTGGGACTGTCCCCGTCTTAGCACTGAAAGTTCTGCATCCCAGAAACTCCCCCAGTCCCAAGCAATGGGGACTGTTGTCTCCATAGGTCAGGGTTACCTTGACAGCCCTGGCTGGTGCAGTGCAGCTCCCCACGCCGGCATTCACTGTGGGAGGGGGTAGTCAGGGTAGACTAAGGGAGGCAGGACCCAGTCCAGGACCTCCGGGGGGTGGGGGTGGTCATGCAAGGGTAACCTGACCCCTAGGCACATTTGGGGCAAGATGAGGGAGCTGCAAACTCTAGCATCTCAGGGTCCTCTGTCCTGAGGCTGGACTGGGCCCCCCAGGCCTCCCTGCCCTATTCCCTGGCCCCAGCCCTCTGTCTCCCTTCCACCATCACTCACCACTCCTTACAGCCCAGCTGCAGGCGGTCCCCAGGGGCCAGGGTCATCCCGGCTCCTGCTGCTGAGGTATGCCAGCAGTTACACTCCTCTGGGGGAATGCAGCCCCCAGCCTGCTCCAGCAGCCCCTGGGTGGAAGGAGAGATGGGGCAGTGATCATCGTGTCATCCCAGCACCCAGCACTGTGCCCCGCCTGCAGCAGGTGCATATGCATGATGCCGAGTGAATGGCAAGCTGGGAGGAGGCACCGAGTTCCAAGGGGTTTGAAGGAGGTGGGGCCGCCATGGACATCACAGAAAGAAGGAGGAGCAGGAGTGTGGGCAGAAGACCCCCTTCTCCTTGGAAGTTGCTCCAGCTCCCAGCTCTCACCTTGGGGCAGTAGCAGCCCGGCTGGCAGGGTGGCAGGTCCTGGCAGAGCTGATGGCTCAGGTGTGTGGCACAGAGCCCAGCACAGGGGGAGCCGCAGGCATGGAACTCAAAGGGAGGCGTGCAGCTGTCCTCTGGGGGAGATGGGGGAGAGGCAGGCTTGTGGGGGAACAGCCCAGAGACATCACTCCCAAAGCCCAGAGCACATGCCGCGTGGCTCTACTGAGGCCCTTGGGGTCACCTGGTGAGAGTACAAGATGCCCACCCTCCGCAAGTTGGAACAGACCAGTATCCCCCATCTGGCATCCACTCAGCACCTGTGGGCACCTCCAGGGAAGGATCAGGATGGGTTGGGCCTTGGAGAGCCAGGAAGATGCCTGGAGGAGGCAGCTGAGGAGGGGGCTGCAGGAGTGAGGGGCCTTGGCAGGTGCTCCAGAAATTGGCAGATGGGAGACAGAGGGGCAGAGATGGGAGACAGAGGGGCAGAGATGGAGGGCAGCCGCAGCAGGAGCTGGGTAAGACACCCTCCTAGAGGGCAGCTACATGGGCCAAAGCCACAGGCGGGCCGGCAGCTGCAGGGTGGACAAATTGTGGTGAGGGATTGGGGTCGCAGCTGTGATGAGGGAGTATCTGGGGGGAGCAGGGGAGCAGCTGGGTTTGAGGGCAGGCACGGGCGCAGGCAGCTGCTCTGAGGTCTTGGGGCACTACATTGGCTGTGAGGGGAGGGGAGCAGGGAGTTCCAGCAGGGACCCTTGGTGGCTGCTGCCCTGCGCAGCTCCCTGGTTAACTTGCTGCTGGAGCCTCACCAGAGCAGTTGCTGATAAGGCAAGGCCGGAAGTGGCCATCCAGCCGCGTGCAGGGGGCGCCTGCCCTGGCCCCTCGGGACGCCGGGCCCTGGTGTCGGTAGCGCTGCTGCACCAGCACCCGGCAAGAGCAGCGCGTCCAGCTGCTCCAGCTGCTCCACACACACTCCTCTAGGGACCGGAGGGGTGTGTCAGCCCACCTCTCCCCTGCCTGCCCTCCCTCTCACCCCAGCCCTGCCGAGACCCTGCACAGGAAACAGGCAAGAGGGGCCTGAAAGGCCCAGCTGGCTGGACGCCCTCTCACCCTACAAGGAGGGCCCCGAGGGAAGAGATGGTGGGAAGAGGAAAGGAACTGAGCAAAACATGGGGGCACAGACAGGGCAGGCTTATTTTAAGGGATGATCCGGGAACTAGGAACATTTATTTTCTGAATCTCCCAAGGTAGGAAAAGTAGAGAGGTGATTTCACTTCCCCTGAACACTCACCTGGGCAGGGCCCTGAGTAGCAGCCCTGGGTGTCCAGGTGGAGGAAGGTGCTGTTGCAGGTGGGGTCGGCCTTGGCCATCAGGCAGGGGCAGGACCCAGAGCGAGAGGCCAGGCCCGGGCCGCAGCTGCGGGAACAGGGCCCCCACGGGCCCCAGGAGCAGGCCTCCAGCAGCCCTGGGCAAGGCTGCTGCCTGGTCTGGGTGTCAGGGCCCAGGCAGGGTGGGCTCCTGTGGTGAGGGGCTGCGGCCCTGCAGGCCCGGGTTCGGACCTGGTTTCCACCTCCACAGGAGACAGGGCAGTCGGACCAGGAGGACCACAGCGTCCAAGCCTCAGGCACTGTGGGAGGGCACAGGTGAGGTCAGAGGAGGCGGAGGGAGCAAAGGCCAAAGGACTGGGTGGGGACCTGCATGGTGGCCAAGGGAGTGGCAGTTAAGTAAGGTGGGAGAAAATGAGACACAGAGCACATGGCAGGCAAGGCATGAGGCTAGAAGGGTGGCTGAGGCGGGGATCCGGAGGCAGCCCAGACCTGCACACTCCGTATCTTCGCAGATCACACCCTCCGGGGTGCAGGAGCTGGGAAAGAGCCGGGACTCAGGACTCTGCTCTCCAGCAGGGCGGTTCCAGCCCCCCTCCCTGCCCTGCACTCACCACCGCTGGCACTCCCCCTGCAGCCAGCTGTCCCCCAGGGTGCGGGAGCGAGTGCCCTGCAGGCACAGGGGTGGGCACGAGGGCTGAGGGCAGGGCTGGCTCTGGGACTGCTCCTCCCGACACTCTGGGGCCCACGAGCCCGACGTGGAGGACCTGGGTGGGGCCAGGGCAGAGGAGGTGAGAGATAGCTCAGGCCCGTCATCCCTTCTCTGTCTCCTGATGAGACACCCTGACGGGACACCTCAGGGTGGGCATGGGGGTAGCTGAGGAAAAGCCAGGGTAACCAGGGACAGAGCTGGCCCAGGGCCTGGGGTGGTGCTGTCGCTGGTGAGAGCAGGACCCAGGAACTCTGTCAGAAGGGAGACTGCGCCTTGCAGAGTGAGGCCCTGGGTGGCAGAAGGGACATCTAGCCCTGCCAGCCCCGTACCGGAAGCGGCTCTGCTGCCCTCTGGGCCCGCATGAGTGGCTGCAGGGACTCCAGGCCGACCAGTGGCTCCAGGCACAGTGGGTGGGAGGCGGGCAGGGCTGAGCCGTGCAGGAGAGCTGCCCAGCTTGGCATGAGCAGTTGTTGCAGGCATCCTGGTGCTGGCTCCCCGGGGCCCAGCTGTGGCCCTGGGCATCGGTGCAGTCACAGTGCCCAATTGGCACGCAGCCACCATCCTGCTCCAGGGACCCTGTGGGGCAAGGGCTGGAGCTTGCACCCCTGGCCCCACCCACACCTTCCCACTCAGCCACCCTGACACTCCTGAAGGATAGGGCAGCACCTACCCTTTGGGCAGCGGCAGCCCTTCTGGCAGACCTGGTCGTCCTGACACACAATTCCCTCCTGGAGGTCTGAGCAGCGGCGGGGGCAGCGGTTGGCACAGGTGACCACCTCCATGCCTGCTGGGCAGCCGGCCTCTGAGCAGATGGAGGGCCCAGAGTCAGGAGGGCCCAGGGCTCAGAAACCCTCCCTCTGCCCTACTGGGGACTCCCTACCTCCATAAAGCTACAGGACCCATCCCATCCCCCACACTGGTGCTCACTGAAACACGGGAGACTCGGGAAGACTCTGGAATTGGGACATTCTAGGTAGACAGTGAGTTCCTCTCACCTCCTGTGAGTTCTCAGCACCTACCCGGTACCCAGTAAATGTTTGTGGAGCTGGACTAAATTTGTGGGTCTCAAAAGCCAATAATGTCACCTGGAGCCTCTTTTGTGTCCACCCAGAGGATGGGTGGGGATAGAGGAGGGGAGCCCCGGGGGAACCCATGCCATGGGGCTGTTGAGGGCCAATTAAAGAAGGAGCTGAAGCTTGGGGGTGACGGGAGGAGGCACAGGCTCAGCTACAGCCGCTGGCTCCATCCACCACCCACGAGTGCCACAGCCGCTCCTAAAAGTGCCACTGTCAAAGCCTCCAAAAATTGTGACAGGGCTGGTGGCTCTTTCCCACCTCGGGGGTGGGAAAGCTGAAAGGAGGAGCTCTCCTGTGGGTTGGGGTGGCCAGGGTGGATCCTTGGGCCTTGGCACAGACAACAGACATGCTCAGGGTATCCTTGCCCAACGCCAGGCCCAGCCCTCCACCCCAGAGGGCTCAGTTTCCAAACTGGCCCATGAGGTAGCAGCCAGGCCCCATGCAGAGTGGAGCCCAATAAGGGTAGGACAGGACTGTCACCATTGCCATACCACAAGGCATGGGATTGCAGAGGCGGGCCTGGTGCCGCTCCCCAGCACAGGGGGCTCCCCCGTTCTTGGATGGGGGGCTTGAGCAGCTGCGGCTTCTCAGGGATTGGCCTCCCCCACAGCTGCGGTCACACCAGGACCAGGGACTCCAGCGTGACCAGCCCCCGGGCACTGTGGGAAAGAGAACGGCCACCTGAGGGGTCGGCTCAGGCAGGGGGCCCCCACCTATCCCACGAGCCCAGGTCAGGGTCTGGTGTGAGAGATGAAAGTGCCACACTCAGGTAGGCTGGGTGCCTGGGAGGGGGCACTGATGCCAGGGGCCTTCCAGGGGCAGAGCCTGGGGCATGCCCTGGTCTCCCCCAGCCGCCTCACCTGGGCAGGCTCGCAGGTTGCAGAAGCGGCGCTCTTGGTAGGCAGTAAGGATGTTGGGGCACCAGTGCCCGCCGGGCCCAGGGGGACGGTATGCCCGCAGGCGGCGCTGCTGGCCCACTCCGCAGCTGCGGGAGCAAGGTTCCCACGGGGCCCAGGAGGTCCAGGAACAGTTCCCAGCCCCACAGCCAGGGCCAGGGCACACGGGCAGCTCTGTGACACAAAGCGGAGCTGGAGCCAGTCCCGGCTGCATGACACCTGCCCAGCCTTTCCTCTCTGCTCCCAGCTCAACGGTGGACCTCCACCACCCAGGCCAGCAGTGGCCTCGTCCAGAGCTCTGGGCTCTCATTCTGGATCTGACACTGACTGCTGTGTGGCTTTGACAACTGGGCCTCACTATCCCCTTTTCTCATCAGGGACAGTAATCCCAGACTACAGGGCTATGGAGGGATTTGGGCGGGACCTTGGGGCGGGTGGAGAGTTCAGCACACACACCAGAGAACAAGGAATGTGCTGGAAGTTGGGCTCCCCAGCATCTGCTGGGGTTGGCAAAGAGGATCCAGAGCCCGGAGTCAGACACTGATTTGAAATGAGATGTCAACACTAGAAACCAATGATTACCTGAGGGGTATTAGATATTGGGAATTGGGGGTTACAATGAGTTGTCTGAGGGTGGTGGCTGGGATCAGAAGTTGAGGCTGGAAGGCACACCTGTGCATGAGGGCAGGTTGCAGGGGCGCTCCTGTAATGGGTCCCCCATGGTGCAGTTAGCCAGGCAGAGGCGGGTGCGGCTGCGCCATGCAGGGCGAGCGGGGTCCGTGCAGCTTCTGGAGCAGGGGGACCAGGAGGACCATGGGCCCCAGCCACCTGGGGGAGGGATTGGGGAGGGTGCCTTGTGCTGAGTCGGCCCTGAGTTTCAGCCTCTCCAGGAAGCAGGGGAGGGGGAAGCGGGGAGGGGTCCCTGGGCTTGCTCTTCCCACAGGGAGGCCATGAGGCAGAGGTACAGGGAGTCTGGAGCTACCTGGAAGGCCTGTTACTGGCTCCACCGTGGACCCTTCAGCCCCTGTGCCAAAGGAAACCCCACTCAGAAATGTTTTGGTACCCACAGCGCACCGGGACCACGCCTAAGGCTGGCAGCTGGCACTGCGGGCTCATGGCTATCTAGTCCAGCCTTCCTCAGCTTGAGCTCCTGCGGACACCCAGGCCCCAAGCACAGCACTTCCTTGCAGGCTCAAGGCCTTTGCTCAAGCTGTTCCTTTCCTTCCAATGCTGGTCAAAGTTCCCTCCCTCCCTCAAAACCCCTCAGATACTGCCTCCTCCAATAAGGCCTCCTAGACGTCTGTCCAGTGCCATCCTGACCCCAGCCCTGCCCACCACCTTCTGCCTGTCCTTACCAGGGCAGTCTGGGCTGGGGCAGTACTCGAGGTCCTGGCGGGGCCCACGGCAGCCCTGACCACTGAGGGTGGGCATGGTGAGCACACACTGGCGGCTGCGGGTACGGGTGCCCAGCCCTCCACAGGAGCGGGAGCACGGGCCCCACGGGCTCCAGGGACCGAAACCACCATCGGCCTCGAAGCAGTCGTCCAGGGAGCAAGACAGCTTCCCGTGTGCACACGAGCTGGGGGAAGAGCCAGGTTAGCCCAGCCCAGGTGGGGCCAGAGGGTAGACTGGGGTTCCCGGTCCCTGTCCTCTTACCCTCTAACCCCTCCCTCCACTGAAAATCTCCCTGACCCTCCCCAGCCCAGTCCCCACCCTCACCATCCCCCTCACCAGTTGCCACAGCTTGTACGAAGTGTCTGGCCTGAGTCCAGCTCATCTCCAGGCCCGAGGGGCTGACCAGGGTCACCTATGGTGGCTCCCAGCTCCTGCAGCAGCCAGGCTGTCAGCACACAAGGGCACTCCTGGGAGAGTGGGGCAGAGGAGGCAGCATCACAGCACAGGCCAGCCACCCACCCGGGGCTGTGCGCATCCCCTGGAGAGACTTGGGGAGGGACAGTGTGAGGACCCGGAAAAGGGCTCCAGGCTCCAGGAAAGCATTTCCAGGAGCAGGGGGCTGTTCACCCCCATCAGGGGCATGAGCACACCATGAGAGGGGCATGGCCGGGGCTTGGCCTGAGCTGGCTTCCCCACACAGAGCGCCCAGCAGGACACAAGGAGGCACCAACACAGACCCTCACAGGCTCACACATGATGCGGGGGGCAGAAAGAGCTTCAGCCAGGAATCGGGACGTTAGGTTTGGGTCTGGCTCTGCTGCTGTGTGTGACCTCGGTGTGTCCCCTCCCCTCTCTGGGGCTCACTGTCACCATCTCTAGGTCTAGGAGGTGAGACCAGGTGGCTGCTCTGGTCCCTCCTGAACATGGCATCCTGGAACTCTGGCTCAGGAGTGGCCACTGGGCAGCCGGCTTTAGGATTAGGAAAGGGATCCCTGTGTGCCTGTCAGGCTCCCCAGAGCAGAGCTGGGCCCCGGCTGCCGCTGGGATGCCCAGCAGGGACCAGGTGGGGCCAAGGGGAGTGAAGGTGAGGGGCACTGTCCCCACAAGCATGTGACAGGCAAGAGAGGGGCAGTGAAGACCCATGACCCACAGTGGAGGACAGGGAGGTGAGGCTGGGCCAGTGAGGTTGGGGAACATGGGAACCTGGCAGGAAACTGCCCCTCCCTGCCAGGGTGAGGGGTGGGCGGGGAATACAGGGGTGGGTGTGAGCTCCAGCAGGGCTGGGACATGTACCAGTCAGGAACAGAGGACAGGCAAGTCCAGAGGTGGCAGGTGTTCCCCATCCCGGGGAACCAGGGACCCCGGGAGGCTGCGTCTAACTCTGCCTGCCCCTGACGCTGTCAGCAGAGGCCTCGGCTGGCCTCACCAGCCTGTGTGCTGCTTAGGGGCCTGCCCAGGGATGACAGGGTCTGCAAAAGTGACAGACATGACAGAGGGGACAGGCGAAGGGAGGGCAGGGAGGGCTGTGGGGTGGACAGGTTCTGACCTGCACACAGGCCAGGCGGTGCTGGAAGGTGCCCTCGGGGCAGTGGCAGCCCTCCTCGCAGCCCTCAGAGAAGCAGCCCACCTGCTGCGTGACGTGGGCGCAGGAGAAGGGGCATCCCTCGCCGGGCTGGCATTCACGGTACAGGCGGCCAGCCGGGCAGCCTGCCTCTGAGGCAGCAGCCACATCAGCACCTGCTCCGGCCCCGGCCCTCACTGACCACCTCAGGGAGTGCCTTTCACCTGCCCATCCCCCCGCCCTGGGCAGCGCCCCCTCCCACAGGCTCCCACAGCCTGGCTGAGTCCTCCTTCACTTGTCCATCGCTGGTGGGAGGGCACTGGAGGACAGGTGGGGGTGGGGAGGGAGAGGCCAAAAGGCACCCATGAGTCAGGGTCAAAGGCCAGGATGGGACTCAAAGGTCAGAGTGGGGTTAGCCCCGGGCTGGCGCTCACCTCTGCAGACCTGTGTGCTGCATGTGCGGCTCTGGCGGGCAGGCCCTGGGCAGGGAGGACGAGCACAGCGCCGGGAGCGCAGCTGCTCCCCGCCCCCACACGAAACACTGCAGTCTTCCCAAGGGCCCCAAGAGCTCCACACCCCAGGGTCCGGGCAGTCAGGCACCTCCTGGCATTGCAGAATGCCTGCCACACAGGTGCTGGGGACAAAGGAGGGGGCTTCAGAGACAGGACCAGCCCCATCCCCTGAGGGCTCCCCTCCTGGGTTCTATGCGCCTCCCCGCCCCCACTTCTCTTGGCTTACCAGTTGTCACATGGCCCAGTGACCACCTCTCCGGGTTCCAGGCTCTCCCAGGAGCTAAACCTAGACCCTGCTGAGCGGCTCTGGTTCTCAGGGATCCCTGAGGGGCACAGGAGGGAGGGTGGGGGCTCCAGACAGCTCAGCTCCCCCCATCCATCCCTCCTCCCACCCCATGGCCTTCTACTCCCCACCCTCTTGCCTCCACCGCATGGCACCCTGTGTCCTGAACAAGGGAGGTGGACACTCCAACCAGACCAGCCCTGGGAGGGGAGTCGAGGGACACGAAGGCCTGGAGAGCTGGTAATCGCTCATTTTTGTTCTGCAGCCCCAGGCTGGGTCCCCGGGGCAGCGGCACAGGGGCCAGACAGGTGGCACTGCAGTGCTGGGGGCTGGGGGAGAGGGGAGGCACTCACCCATGGCTCCAGGCTGGTACTGGCAGCGGCAGTGGGCTGGGGGCACGCACAGCCCGTCCTGGGAGAGCTGGCCCAGGGGGCACCCACAAGTGGGCTGGCAGCCCACAGAGCCTGGCTGGCACACACTCCCAGGGGACAGGTCCTGGCAGGAGCGGGGGCAGGGCTGCCCACAGGGATGCAGACTCTGGCCACCCCCGCAGTCTACGCAGGAAGAAAGCAGAGAGGGTGGTCACCGAAGGGCATCCTGAGGCATTTTCAACCCTCCTGCCATGCCTGGCGCCCATTCGGACCCGCCACCTTGACCAGGTCCATGACTGATGGCCTGGGAACTGTCCCTTGAGATAGTGACATGATGTGTGTGGAGGTCAGAGGCCAGAGTCGGCATCTCCCTGGACTTAGAGGGGCCCTCTCAGACCTCACTGAAGCCTGACCTGTGCACTGGGTGGAATTTTCCTGGCAAGGGCGACTCTGCGTGTGGTTCCCAGGGCAGGGCCTCCCTCCCTCAGGGGTGGGGGGCCGGCTGCACGCCCGGCTCCGGTGGGACTGCCCCAAGCACATGTCGCAGGGAGACCATGGCCCCCATGGGCCCCAGGCTCCGTCCACTGTGGCAGGAAGACAGATCATCCGCATTAGGAGGCCCCAGGTTAGCGGGGCTGGAGCAGGGCTTTAGGGCCTTTTGGGGGAGGGGCATGGGCCTCGTGGGGCATTACACCTGGGCACGTGGCGTAGCTGGGGCAGGCCTCCCTCTGATGCTGGGCCCCTGCCTCCCCAGCCTCTCCAGTGCACGGGGCACCACCGTGCTGAGGAGTGGGGCAGGCACAGGCCCTGGAGCGGCTCCTGGTCTGGCCCCTGCAGGGCTGGGAGCACATTGTCCACTCCGACCACGGGCACCAGCCTCCGGGCACTACAAGGAGAATGGTGGGCACTGGGGTGCAGCCCGTCCCTTGCCCGGTCCCAGGCCCCCCTCCTCACCTCCCTCCAAGCTAGGCACATACCTGGGCAGGGCAGGTCTGTGCAGTTCAGCCTCCCCTCCAGGCAGGTGCTGGGCAGGGGGTGCAGACACAGAAGGAAGAGGCAGCAGCTTAGTCCTACCCCAAACCCTAACTCTGCACCCCCCCAGCTGCCTCTCCCCTCCCCTCATCCTTATGATTGATCCTCAGTTTTCTGCCAGATAGTGCCCCATCTCCCAGCTCTCCAGTGCCTCCCTATCCTGTTTCCTGTCCCACTTAGCTGGCCCTCTCGGGGTCACCAGATGATGCCTACTCTTGGGGAAGGACTGCAGGTACCCTGGAGCCAACTCTGTGGTCAGATGGGTTGTGAATGCCATATCTGTCACTCCTCCTGCCCAGACCCCTCCTGCCGCTGAGCACGTGCCCAGCCCCCGCAGACACACAGGGTCAGCTTCAGCGTCCTCGCCTATCAGACGCGGGTCTTGGTGCCTGCCCCACATCTGCTCAGGGATTGTGGGGGGCAAATGTGACCATCCGCGGAGACTCCAGAGAGCTCGAGAGAATGGGATGAAGTGGGGCAACTCCTGCTGGCATCCCTGCCTCCCACCACGGCGAGGGCCCCTTACCAGTGGTTGCAGCCGTCAGGCCTTGCCAGCCGAGCACCCGGATGGTGCCGCTGCCCGGTCAGCAGGTCCAGGCAGCTGCAGTGACCCGGCTGCACGCAGATGGCCCCGTTGGAACTCAGTACCTGGCCTGGTGGGCAGTAGCAGCCAGGCTGGCAGCGCCACACGCAGTGCTGGGGGACAGTAAGTGGGGGCCATCAGCAGAAAAAGGAAAGCTGTGCAGGGAAGACGACGGAACAAGGGGCTGGGGAGGAAGGTGTGACAGAGGCCTCACGTTTTCAACAGAGTACGCCTGGTAGTGCAGATGAGAAAGGCAGGAAGGGGACCCAGCTAGCCCTGCAGTTTGCACTGAGGTTGGCCCCTCCCTGAGGGTGGAGGGGAGGGAGGAGCAGCTGAGGAGGTTCCCTTTGGCCCCCTGGGGCAGGGATTTGGAGCTAGGTGTTCCCAGATGTAAAACCCCAATTCCAGCGGGTGACCTGGACTCATGGCCTGGAAGCTGGGGCATGCCCCAGACCTCTAGAACGTGGGGAGCTGGCTGGGCAAGGGGGCAGTTTGGGAAGGAGCTGGGAGGTCCTGGGGCGGCTGGGAGCAGGCACTGCCCGCAACGACCTTCTCTTCTCTTCGAGATCCTCCTCTTTCTCCTCCCTCTCCCCACCTCCCTCAGCACCTCCACACCCAAGGCCTCGAAGCCCCACCTCATTCTTCATGGCCCCTACTGTGACCACTCTTTCACGTGTGTCTGTCTTGCTCAGCCCAGAATGTGGGCTCCGTGGTGACCCTGTGTTTGCTTCTCCCACCCCCCGCCACTCCCCCACCCACACACAGATGCAGGTCTAGACACCAACGTGCTCATGGGGTTCAGGAGATGATTTCCCCCTTCCTTTGTGTTTATGCCATTTTTGTCATAACACTTTAATGTGAGAAATGTCTGATCTACAGACAAAGGCTGTCAGGTGAGGCTGGCTCTGTGCGGAGAGAGGCTGGTGTCTCTCTGGGGTGGCCTGGCATGCTCTGTGAACTGAAACCAGGGCCCCCACCCGTGCCTTCCTGTGCTGGGCTGTCCAGGCCCCAGCCAAAGAGGCCGTGAGCCCAAATCCACACCCTGCCCTCCCGCAAAGTGGGCCTTGGGTCAGGTGGCAGTGCCAAGGGAGCTGGGACTCACCACTAG
Source organism: Homo sapiens (assembly GCF_000001405.40). Taxonomy (NCBI): domain Eukaryota; kingdom Metazoa; phylum Chordata; class Mammalia; order Primates; family Hominidae; genus Homo; species Homo sapiens. The sequence continues at coordinate 149,812,634 of NC_000007.14, read as the reverse complement.
GTCATCACAGGAGCGAGGGCACGGAGGGCCACAGGGGCTATACTCGGCCCCTTCAATGGCAGTGCAGTTGGTCACTGAGGGCAAACAGGATGGGCTGAGAACTGTGTGGGGCCATCCACCCTGGCCTCTCTCCCTGGAATGCTTCCTCTAACTCCCCTTCCTCTGTCCCTGACCCCCACCCCCATCCCTGGCAGGTACCTGGGCAGGGCAGAGCCTGGCAGACCTCCCCCTGTGCCCGTGGCCCCTCGCAGTAATCCCCCAGGCCCTGGGGTGGGGGCTGGTCACAGGCCCGGGTCCGGCTCCGCAGGCCTCCCCCACAGCTCCGGCTACAGTGGGACCAGGGCCCCCATGGACCCCATCCCCCAGCTCCTGGGGACACAGCAGAGGAAGGAGTGAGGAGGGGCTTGGCTGGGGCCAGGGCACAGCTGGTACAAGGCAGCAGCATCCACAGCGTACAGTGGGCACCACCCTGGGCTCCCCAGGAGGGTCCAGGCGGGCAGGGCAGGCAGGCACTCAAGATCACACCCCTGCAGGAGACATGGCTCCTCTTCAGCCTCGGGGCCTGAGCAGAGAGGTGTGGGGGTGGCTGGCAGGGGCAGCGGAGCCACGGTGGATGGCACTGCACTGGGGGACCTGGCACAGAACCGGTGCCGATGGCACCGGGCAGGGCCACAGGAGGCTGAACACTGGCTCCAAGGGGTCCAGGGTGACCACGTGGGCTCACCTAGGGGATATCCAGGAGGCGGGCAGGCAGGAGGGGGACAGGCACAGGCTGGACAGGCTGAAGATGGAGCATGGTGCCTCTGCCCCCCATCTCTCCTGATGGCTTTCCTCCCCCAGTCTCAGCCCTGGCCCACTCCTGCAGCTGAGGGATGGGGGAGCCGAGGTGCAAGTCAGAAGTGGGGACGCTTCCTTACCCTCCGCACAAGGCCAGGAGCTGCAGTTGGCGATGAGCCCGGAGACACAGGAGCTGTGGGGAGCAGCAGAGGGTTGGTTGGTCTATGGGCTGCATTGTGGCCCCCCAAACCCTCAAGTTCAAGTCCTGGCCCCCAGTCCCTGGGAATGGGAGCTTATTTGGAGATGAGGTCTGTACAGAGGTGATCAGGTTAAAAGGAGGTCACTGAGGTGGCCCTAGTTTTAATGCATCTTATGTCCTTTATAAAAGAGAAAATGAGGGAAGATGACATGAAGAGATAGGGAGAAGGCCACCTACAGGCCAAGGAGTGCCAACGATTTCCAGCAAACTCCCAGAAGAGGAGTAAGGCCTTGAACAGTCTCCCTTGCAGCCCTCAGAAGGAGCCCACCCACCAACACCTTGATCCTGGGCTTCCAGGATCTGTGAGACCATCAGGGGCCGCTGCTCTAGCTCCCCAGTGCATGGCACTCGGTGGCAGCAGCCCCAGGAGGCTAACACAGGTGGGGAGAGGGAAAACAGGTGGGGGACAGGGGGAGGGAGGGGCGCAGGAGGGTGCAGCCTCAGAGGGCTGGACGGCTGTGCCGAGGGGCTGGGGGTGGGGGGCACATGTGTCTCTGTCCCCGACTGGAGCCAAAATCCCTGCCTCTGAGGAGGGACAGCAGGTCGTCAGAGGTCACAGGGCCATAATGGGATGGGGGCGGTGTCTCACCAGTTTTCACATGGACGAACCACAGTGCTGCCCGGGGGGTAGAGGTGCCCCTCGTGGGCACAGGGGCAGTCCTGGGTGGGCACACACACGTTGTTCTGGAATCGAAACCCTCTATCATCTTCTGGCTCCAGATGGGCTGGGCCTGGGCTCCCCACCCTGGTCAGAGCCAGCATGCAATCCTCAAGCTCCCCCTTAAAACCCAGCCACTCTCCTTCCACAGACATGCAGCTCTCCCCTCTGCCCTCCTGCCAGGCAAATGCGGACCATCGGCTTGGGGGCCGTGGGGACGTGGGGACGTGGACCCTCCAATTTCTAGGAGAAAAAGACCATCTTAAAAATTGCAGGACATGAGACTGAACTGTCGAATCCCCATGAAGTCAGCCATGAAAACATGAAATATGCAATTTGTACAGCAATGGTAGGAAAAGACACATTTTCATCAACAAAATAAAAACAGAAAAACATTGTGCACAGGGAATCTGGACAGAAGTCCTTCAGATTTAAAAGAAACAACTGTCTTGTGGCGCATGATTCAAAGTCGAACGCACTGAAGTTTACGGGCCAGGGCCTGGGAAACCCTTTCCCTGCACCGTCTCACTGACTCCTGTGACTGGCTGTAATTTTACCCCAATTTTACAAAGGAAGGAACTGAGGCACGGGAATACTATCCCCAAGCTCGCAGGGCTACCAGTAAAAGAGCCTGATTTGGACTCAGATATGATTACAACGTGTCCCTTAACCACACCCCACGGCTTTGTTCAATCCCACCACACAGCCGGCATTTCCTAGCCCCAATTCCTACCACCCTCTGACTAGAGTGGCCACCTCTCTGCTCTCCAATCTTGGATCTTCAAGTGCAGGACCCCCTCCTTCAGGAAGCCCTCCATGCCTCCCTACTCTCCACACCCTCCAATCTCTGATATTCAAGTCAGGATCACCTCCTACAGGGAGCCCTCCATGGCTGACCCAGCCCACTCCACTCCACTCCACAATGTGCAAAGCTCACTTCCTGCCCGTCTGATGGTTCTAGCTTCATTTTAGGGACTCTGGGTCTGGTTTCCCCAGACTGGATGCTTCTTGAGGGCAGAGACTACTCCTTCCCTACAGAATAGCTCAGCCAGAGACTAACATACTGTAGGTGCTCGATAAATAACTGGTGATAACATAGTGGACAGAGCAGTTGAGCAGGGACAATTCACAAAGATCTTCTAGACCTATCACCATTTTTACCAGTGAGGAAACAGAGATTAGGGGGAGAGGGATGAGACCTGCCCAGGATCCCCTGCTGGTTCCTGCCGGAGCTGAGTTGTAACCCATGAGTTTAGTACCCTTTCCTCAACCTTGCAGGGTCTCCCTGTCTCTAGCCCCATACCCTATGTTCTTCGCTGTCCAGATCCTGCCTGTCCCTTCCCTGCCACCCCATGGTCCCCAGGCTGTACAGAGGCCTCTCTGGGGCCAGGCAGGGGGACACTCACCAGCAGAAGCATCCCAGAGGGGCAGTGGCAGCCAGGGTGGCAGGTCTGGTTAGTCCCTCTTGGGGCGCTGAGCTCTGCACAAGAGGCAGGGCCCTGGGCACAGTCCAGCCACTGCTTGTCCCTGGGACACATGCCAGGCACTGGCCCTGGGGACATAGAAATTGACAGCCCAGCCCCAGAGCACTCAGCTCTCCCCTGAGCTCCCAACCTGGGAGAGGCACCAGCTCTGGGTATGGGTGGGGTGGTCATGGGGACTGCACAAGGGCCGAGGGACAGGGCTGTGCTGGGGTGGCAGACAGGGGGTTGACAGTGCCCTGGGTTGGTAAGAATGAGAACTGGAGGGTCCCCAGGGCAGGCCTCACCTGCGCAGGGCTGCAGGCCACAGGTGGAAAACTCCATGAGGCTGCGCAGCTGCTGCCTCGGGTGCGGTTCCTGTAGCCACCACCACAGGGCACGGAGCACGGAGACCAAGGGCCCCACTCCCCACCAGGACCTGGGGGTGGTGCCCAGGTCACTGCAGGCCCTGCCTCCCATGCCCACCCCACCTTCTCCTCCTCCCACCCAGACACCCCTGGGGACCCCTCCACCGCTTCACCTGCAGCGTCATATCCCACTTAAGGTGCCTCACACCTGCTTGTGGGGGGCTCCAGGATTCAGCCTAGAACTGGGCTGGTCTCTAGGGAGAAGCTGGGGCTATTCTGAGGAGGGGCCCTGTTAGGGAATGGACCCTCAAGGAGTCTCTGGGGACAACCTCTTAGCAGCATCTCTTAATGAAGTCTCTTGCACTTTTCTAGAGGTTCAGGGTGGGGGGTGATGGGAGTCTTCTTGGCTTCTCTCTGGAAGGTTAAGGAGGTCTCAGGACCTCAGTCCCAGCTCTCACCTGGACATGGCCGCAGGCTGCAGAATTCAGCCTCCATGGTGGGGCCTTGGCACTCAGCACCCCCAAAGGCAGCTGGGGGTGCAGTGCCTGCCCGGAAGCGGCGCCGAATGCCCACGTTGCAGCTGCAGCTACAGAGACTCCACAGGGTCCAGGGACTCCAGCCACAGGCCACTGCCAGGGCGTGTTGGGGGCGGAGGGCAGTGTGTGTGAAACCAGGTCAGTCTTCTCATACCCTAACTTCCCTGGGCACCACCGAGCTCCCAGGAGTTTAACTCAGGAGGGTCCTAAGTCCCCTATGGTCCCTGAGGACCCACCACTGCCCAATTCCCGTGCCCCAAGCATGGGGGTACCTGGGCAGCGCTCCGAGGTGCATGCCATCTTACCAGAGACACAGGTGCTGCAGAGAAAGGGGGTAGTGAGGCTTTACCTGGCCATCACGGCCACAGTCAGCCCTTACCCCCAGGGAAGCAGCTGAGACCACTGCAGAAGACAAACCCGAGGGTCTGGGGTGTGAAGCTTGCTGCCCAGGTCCCCTGCGAAGTTCACGATGCACCCTCAGTGAGCCCCACAGCGCCCAGGCGCTGCGCTGTCCTTTGTCCCAAGGTCTCATCCATTTGTATTTATTGGGAAATGACCTCGAGGGCCAGGGCCAGGTAGGAGGGATTTAGAGACAGCTGGAGTTCTCCTAGGAGGGAGAACTGGGTACTTCTGCACACTTGCTGTTCTCTCCAATACATGTTTTAAAGCCTATTTATTAAATACTGGAGGTCCCAGAAAAAGATCGGAGAGACGAAAAGTGAGAAAGAAAGCACAGGCGGGAGGAAGAATAAAGAAGGAGGAAATCGAAGGAGGGGCAGGGTATATAAAGTAAAAAGTAAGAGGGAAATGAAGAATGGCCCGGGCGCGGTGGCTCACGCCTGTAATCCCAGCAATTTGGGAGGCTGAGGCAGGTGGATCACTTGAAGTCAGGAGTTGGAGACCAGCCTGGCCAAATGGTGAAACCCCGTCTCTACTAAAAATACAAAAATTAGCCTGGCATGGTGGTAGGTTCCTGTCATCCCAGCTACTAGGGAGGCTGAGGCAGGAGAATTGCTTGAACCCGGGAAGTGGAGGTTGCAGTGAGCTGAGAGGCGGAGGTTGCAGTGAGCTGAGATTGCACCACTGCACTCCAGCCTGGGCGACAGAGTGAGACTCCATCTCAAAAAAACCAAACAAACAAACAAAAAAAGAATGAAGGAAATGAAGTGAAGAAAAAGAAAAAAGAGGGAAATCGCTTGGAGCACCCTCTGCTGGCAGATCCTGATGTCAGCTTTGGGTACTGGGCACTTGAATGTTTCTGAACAGAAATCAAGTGGATCCCAGGTATGAAATTACATTCAGGAAAGAGAACCAGAGAAAGCTGTGATGAGAGGTTAGACCCTCTGCCATCTCTAGTTCTATCATAAATCGCTCCATCGATCTGAGACCCAATATTCCCATAAGTCAAATGGGGATGACCACTCGCTCTAATATTCTCAGGACCCTGCCCGGCACCCGTGGCTGCTGTGTTGTGTTTGGGGAACGGAGCACCCCACCACGGGGTGTGCTTGTGAAAGGGAGCCCACGCCTGCCCACCTCTAGATCCCCGGCCCCTCTCCCACACTGCCCCCACGCTGTGACCCACCAGTTGTTGCAGGAGTCCAGGCGAGCCATTGCTCCTGATGCATAGAGCTGCCCGTGCAGCTGGCAGGGGCACTGGCTGCGGGGCAGGCAGCTAGCATTGTGCAGGAAAAGACCAGGGGGGCAGGTGCAGCCGGGGGCGCAGAAGCCCGTACACTCTATCTATCCCGGGGCCCTGCGTCAGGCATAGCCGAGGGCAAGGACCCCCCTCCTGGTGACACTGCTCTGCTGAGCGGAACAACATGTTCTCTGGGCACTGGGCTGGATAGGAAGACAAAGCAGGTCTCAGCAAGGGCAGGAAGGACGGGAAGGGATGGGAAGGGAAGGGAGGCAGAGGGGCAGAAGGGAACCTGCAAGCAGGGCATGGGGCGGCAGGCTACTGGGCAGGACTGTGCCAGAGAAGCCACCCCTCCTGCCCCTACCCTCACAGCTTTGCTCCAGTGTCTGGGATGGCACCAGGACACAGCCATGGCTTTGCTCTACTTTAATACAAATATTCTTGAGAACAGACCATGAGGACTCCAGTCATCTGGGATAGGAGGAGCCCTCAGAGGACAAGGGAGAGTAAGGAAGGGGCCAGGGGCTTCAAAGTGCGAGCTCTGCTCCCCCACGATTCTGGCCCTGAGTGTGTTCTGCCCTGAGGAAGGCCAGTCTGCCTCCCTCGGGGAGCCTGTTCTCTGGGGAAGGAGGCCTGCCTCCACCAAAGAAGAGCAAAGGGCTGAGGGGCCACAGCTGCTGGGACCTGGTCCCCAGTGGCAGGTGGGAGAGGCAGGGAGCTAGAGGAGACACAGGAAATCCCAGGCTCCCTTAGCTCCAGGCATTACCTGGCCTGGAGTCAGAGGGCAGTGATGGGCGAAGGTGAGGGTGGGGAAAAGGTCAAAATCCCCAGGAGCTGGGCCAGGGAGGCCTGCTGGAAAATAGGCAGGGAGTCTGGTACCTGTGCAGGGCTGCGTGTTGCAGTCCCTGGTCTGACTGTGGGGTCCTGGGCACGTGGTGTCCCCTGGAGCCAAGCTGGAGCAGCTGCGCCCACGTGTCTGGATGCCTCCATCACAGGGGGCTGAGCAAGTGGACCAGGGAGCCCACAGACCCCAGATGCTTGGCACTGCCAGGAAGAGCCCAATCCAGAGTCACAGACACCGGCATGGCAGAAACAGTCCAGGATAGGGCATCGTGTGGCTGGAGCTGTGTAGCTTGCAGGGTCTTAACTGCAGCCTCCAGCCCCCACCTACGTCTACCACTCAGGCTGGCTTCCTGCGCGATGGCTGGGGTGGGAGAGGCTTAAGGACAACAGCCAGGTTTGCTCCAACCCTTGGCCCCTCCCAGATGTCTAGAACCGGCTCAAGGGGGCATTCTTCTTTGCTCCTCATCCCACCCCAGCATCCGAGCCACCCCTGGGCCCAAGGGAGAATACCTGGGCATACAGGGGGGCTGCAGGGCTCCTCCTGGGTGGCATCTCCTGGGCAGGATGAATCCCCAGGGCTGGGGCAGAGTCGGGAACGACTGCGCCAGCCAGGGCCCCCTCCCGGGGCAAGGCAGCTTTGGGAGCAGGAGGACCAGGAAGTCCAGGGCGTCCAGCCGAACACCTCTGTGGAGGGGGAACAGGACAGGCCATTTGTGCAAAGGCCTTTACTGGCAGGGCTGGGGAGGGTCGAGGAGCCTGGGTTAGGTCTGAGAAACTAGGTGGGCAGAAGAGGGCTCACAAGGAGGAGGGAGGCTGCTCTGGGCTCAGGGTGCAGCCTCTGCCCCTTCTCAGCTCACTTGCTGGGACCCCCACTCTCCAGCCCCATCTTTTTTCTGCTTTTCTGGGGGGCTGAGGACAGGATCTGTCAGCTGGAGTGCAGTGGCATGCTTATAGCTTGCTGCAGCCTCTACCTCCTAAGCTTACGTGATCTCCTATCGCAGCCTCCCGAGGAGCTGGGACCACAGGCATGCGCCACCATGCCCAGCTACATTTTTAATTTTTTTTTTTAAGAGATGGGGTCTCTCTATGTTGCCCAGGCTGGTCTTGAACTCCTGGCCTCAAGCAATCCTCCCACCTTGGCCTCCCAAGGTGCTGGAATTATCGGCGTGGGCCACTGCACCTGGCCTCCAGCCCCACTTCTCACCCTCAGGAGCCAGGCACAGAGCCTCCTGTGAACCTGGGCTCAACTACATTCCCACATCTCTCTCCTGGACTCGGACAGCACCTCAGCAGGACCACCACCAATCCTCATGTTTCCCCCAGATCAACGCTTCCTGATCCTTCTATGCCAGAAACTGATTAAGAGTCCCTGTGGAAACTGTCAGTGTCCCACCGGCCACTCTCCACTGGCCCCTCTTTCCCTCCTACTGCAAGAGCCTGGCCCAGACCCCCTGGATGCACCCTGCCTCTCTCCCCCTCCCCTCCCCCACTCCTCTTTCTTCCCCATTGCCCACCTCTCCCTTGCCCACCTCATCCCATTGCCCACCTCGTCCCATTGCCCACCTCGTCCCATTGCCCACCTCGTCCCATTGCCCTGCACAACAGTGAGGCTGCGCCTGCTCTGCAGAGACCTCCACTGGCACAGGCACTGTCTGAGAAGCACCCGGTAGGTGGAAAGAGGGAAACCATCTGGCACCTTCATCTGGCCTCTAAATGTTGCTGCTGGCCTCCCTCAACCCACCAGCCTCACCTCTCTCGCCCGGCTCTGCAGTTGCCTGCTCCACCCAGGCCAGCCTGCTCCTGGCGCCCAGGCAGTCTGGGCGGGAGTCTCTGCCTCTCCCCATCAAAGCCCCTCCACCGAGGCCAGTTCAAGGGCTGCCTCTCAGACTGCGGAGGTGTTACCAATCCCCCACGTAGAGTGGTCAGTGGGTCCCATCCCATGTGTTCTCAGGGTACAGAATTGGGAGGAGGAAGGGGGGACTCCTGCACCCAGGCTCCCGGCTATACCTGTCCCACACACTGTGTGGCAGCCCTGCAGTTCCTGCCGGTCACCTTCACACGGGGCACCCCCCCAGGCTGCCGGAGGGTTGGAGGGAGACCTGGGGAGAGAGGCAGCCCTGAGCACCCGCTCTGCTCTCTCCCTGCCCTCACTCCCGCCTTCTTCATCCTTCATCCCCTGTCCACCATCTTTCCACTATCGCCCCCTCAGGGCTGGCCTGGCTCCTCGCCTCCCTGGGCCCCACCACTCCTTCTCACACTGCCGTCCACCCCTGTCGCACACCTGAACCTGGCCCTCACTCCAGAGCCACAGGAGCGGTCGCAGGGAGCCCAGGAGGACCAGGCTGACCAGCCGCAGGGCAGGGGGCAGCCCCCTGGTTGGCACAGCAACTCCCCCTTCTCACACACGCTGCAGGGGAGGGAGAGGCTGAGGAACCGGTCAGGGCTGGGGAGACCCCGGTACAGTGCCCTCCCTGGTGCAGCCGCCCTCACCATTGGCTGCAGTTGCCCAGGAGGAAGGACACCCCTGGCCACTTCAGCTCTTCGCCCACCAGGCAGGGGCACTCAGAGAGGGGCAGGCAGCGAGTGTCATGCAGAAGGAGCCCCGGGGGACAGCGGCATCCTGGGAGTATGTGGAAGAGGGCACTCAGCCCCAAGGGGCACAGCAGGGAGGGGAGGCTGGAGACTGGGGGCTGGTGGGCCTGTGTGGGCATCCCACAGTCCCCCTGCAGGCCAGGTCTGCCTCACCTTCCACACAATGCCCACTGCAGCTTCTGTTGGCCTTGGGATCCAGGCAGGAGGGTGGGCATGGGGGCACCAGCCCCTTCTGGCACAGATCGGCACTCACATACACACGGCCCAGCTCGCAGTCTGGTGGGGGATGGGCACCAGGTGAGCCTAGGTGCTGGGAGGCCCAATCGCCCCGTGCCCACAGTGCTCCCTCCGTGTCCCCAGCCCAGCACCCCCTTACCTGTGCCACCTGAGCAGGGCTGCAAGCCGCAGGGTGCCCTCTCTTGGGAGGCCCCGGGGCAGGGGGCACCGCCATTCTTGGGTGGGGGGTCCACACAGCTTCTCTGGCGACTCTGATGGCCACCCCCGCAGGAGACGCTGCAGGGTCCCCAGGCCTCCCACATGGCCCATGCCCCAGCCACTGTTGGGGAAGGTAGCATGTGGGTCCACCAGGAGGGGTCCAGGAGACACAGGCTATGAGAGAGTGGCCAGAGCCAGCGCTCCCCTCCTCCCCCGGCCTGGGCAGCAGCCAGTGAGGCAGCCAAGGGCCCTGCCCTGGGTGTTCCACAGCTCCTCTTCTGTCCCAGGAAACCTCCCCTAGGTGGCAGGTGCCTGGAGAAAGGGCTCTAGGTGCCTCCCAGGACAAAAGCTCTGCTCCCTGGGAAGGGGCCGGGACTGCAGGGATCCTGGGGAGAGCAGCCCTGATGGCAGCTGTAGGGCCACCACAGCCAGGGAGGAGCCAGGGTGGGACTGAAAGAGGCCCCTGTGTGGGAAGCCCCTCTCTGCCATGCACAGAAGTAGGTGAGGGCCACTCCCTTGGATCGATGGAATAAAAGAGTGACAAGGCCTTCCGCATGGCACCCAGGGACAAGTGGCACAGCTGGCTGACACATGAGGCCTGGCTCCAAACACCCCCACACACCATCTCCCTTAATCCTTCCAGTGCCTTCTGAGGCAGGAATGACCATTATTTCCAGGCTATACACAAGAACCTGAGTCTTGGCTCAGGTAGGAAAGGAGGGCAGGGCCAGCCGGGAGGCTCTCAGATGGAAACCCACCCCAGGTTTCACACCTGAAGGTTCCTGAGGAGACTGGGTGGGGGGTTCCCCACCTCCCTCTGGGAGCAGGGGCTTTCCCGAGGGAAGGCTGGAGTGCAGGATTACCTGGGCAGGCCTGCACAAAGCAGGACTGGCTTCGGAACCGGTCACGCGGGCAGCTGCCCCCTGGCAGAGGAGGCCGCAGCAGCTCCTGGCGCTGGAAGGTGAGGCCCAGGCCACAGCTGCGGCTGCAGCTGCTCCAGACAGACCAGGGGGCCAGCACGCAGTCCACTGCAGGGGCATGGGGGCCGGGGCTCAGAGGGGCTCATGCAGGAGGGGGCCCTCAGGGCTACCCCTGCCCTGGCTGGCACATACCACAGCCATCCTCGTCCGAGCCATCCTGGCAGTCAGGCCGCAGGTCACAGCGCCGCTCAGCAGACAGACACTCCCCGCTGCCACAGCTCAGCTGGCTCGGGGAACAGAGGGCCCTTGAGGCTGGAAGCCCAGGCAGGGCCATGGTAGGCATCATGAAGGGCACAGTGCTCGCTGCCCACAAGGCAGGGAGAGAAGGGAGCCACATAAGTAGATTCCTGGCTGAATGATACACTCAGCCCCTTCTCAAGCCAAGAGCCAAAGTGAGCTTGCTGACTGGAGCCCCTGGCCTCCCCTTCCTCCTGATGCCTCCTGCATCCCATGCCCAGAGCAGGCTTCCTTCCACTATGTGTTGGTGAGATCATGGAGTCTTGGGTCTACACAAGCTCTCACACAGAGATTCTAGATGCTTAGGTACCTTATTCCTGAATGCATACTCCCTGGGGTGGCTCTTCTTGTGACTGATTAACATTGGATTTCTTTGGTCATGATTGGAAGACTAAGCTTTGATCATAGTGATCTACTTTGCATGGATGGATGGATGAATAAATGAATGGATGGATATATGGGTGGGTAGATGGATAGATGGGTGGATAGATAGGTGGATGAATGCATGCATGGATGGGTGTATGGGTAGGTGAGTGAATGGATGGATGGGTGGATGGATGGATGGGTAGATGAGTGAGTAGGTGGATGCATGGGTAGCTGATGAATGGATGAATAGAGGGGTGGGTAGATGAATCCATGGGTGGATGGATGGGTGGCTGATAGATGCATGGGTGGGTGTCGGATGGATGGATGAATGGATGGGTGGATGGATGGGTGGCTGATAGATGAATGGATAGAGGGGTCGGTGGATAGATGAATGGATGGATGGGTGGATGGATGGGTGGGTGGATGGATGGATGGATGGGTGGCTGATGAGTACATGGATAGAGGGGTAGGTAGGTGGATTGAGATGGATGGATGGATTGATGGATGGACGGGTGAATAGATGGATGGATGGGTAGATAGATGCATGGTGGCTGGCTGGATGGGTGGATGGATTGATGGATAGATTTGTGAGTAGACAGATGGTTGATAGGTGGCTGATGAATACATGGATAGAGGGGTGGGGGGTGGGGGGTGGGGGGTGGGAGTGTGGGTGGGTGGGTGGATGGATGGATGGGTGGGTGAGTGGGTGGATTAGTGGATGGGAGGATGGGTAGACGGATGGATGGGTGGTTGATGGATGGATAGATAGAGGGATAGGTAGAATGTTGGATGGGTGAGTGAGTAGATGAGTCTCTTCAAAGGTCAAACAGGTTTTATAAAATAGGCTGAGACCCAAGGCCTATCCTATTCCCGGTCTTGACCACCCCCAAAGACACACACACTCCTGTTTTTACCCATTTTCTCCATTCCCTGCTGCCCAAGCCTCCCCCAGATCCTTTCCAATATGAGCTACAAATGAGGGCAGACACTTTCCTACACTGAAGGATAAGTGCCACCCCCTACCCACAGGACAGCAGGCCCTCCAGCAGCTCACCGCAGTGCCTCTCGTCGGAGCCGTCGAGGCAATCCTCCCTGCCATCACACACCTGCGCCTGTTCCACGCAGCCCAGCACCTCACAGGGCGTCTGGCCGGGGCCACACTGCACAGGTGGGAAGGGTCCTGGGGCGACGCTCTGGCCTGTGGGCACCACCACAGCCGGCTGACCAGTCACTTGGCCTGCCCTGTCCTTTCTCCTTCGTCACCTCCCTGAAGCCCCCAAGCTCCCTCCTCTTGGCATCTGCTATGCCTCACTCTGCCTATCTTGGGATAATAGAAAAAGGGTAAACTGGGCTAGGAAACTCAGTCCTCCCCAAAATGACCTTGAGCTGTGTGACCTTGAACAAAGGGCCTCTGTCCCCCTCACAAGGAAGGTGGGCTTACAGAGGCCTTGCACACAGGTAGAAGGGCTTGGCATCTTACCAGCAGGGGTCGCTGGAGTCACAGGGTGTGGGGGCACCACCGTCACAGCTGCCATACCTGGTGGCAGGGTCCTGGCCTCCATCTGGGGTATGGGGGTGGTGGTCACCATCTGCACAGATTCCCCATGGTGAGGCACCCCGGAGGCTGGGCCAGGACTCACGGGCCTTGTCTCTGTGGGTGTAGGTAGAGGGAGGTGAGGCTTGCCCAGCTCCCCTTCCCAGGAAAGGAAGGTGGGGGCCCTCGAGAGGGTATCCCAGGCTTCTGGGTGGTGCAGAGTAAATCACAGGTGCTGCGGACCAGGCTTGGGGCAGCAGGGGCTGGAGAGAAAGGAGGGTGAGGGTGCCAGGGCTGCTCTTTCATTCTGGCTCATCCTCCCCTGGGCCTCACCGTGCCACCTGCCTGGGCCTCAGCTTTTCCCCATCTGTGACACTAGGAGGCCTTATAGACAACTGTGGCCCCTCCCTGTGAGTTCTGATGGAGGTTATTCAGAACCTGGCCGGACTGTTTCTGTGTCTTTTGTGAAAAGCAGACAAAGCAATTGATGCCTTCTGAGAGGCCTTGCATCAAAAAAATCCAAGGAGCACAGGAAGGGCTTTGGCTGAAAGTAGAAGACTTGTTTTGATCTGAGATTTTTATTCTATTCCCAAGAAGAAACACATGGCAACTTTCAAGTTCAAACTCACCATAAAATACGATATTTAGGGAGACAAAGAACTGAGGTCATTTTAACACAGCAGCAGAGGGAGTAAACACTACCAGAGACCCAGGGTGAGTTCATTGTTTCTGTTGTAAACAAACAACAACAACAACAACAACAACAACAAACTGATTTTGGGCTTCCTGGCAGCTACAGTGAAAAGGGTTAAAAGTCTCATTTTCTGGCAAGAGATGCATTCAAAGACAGCCTTTTTTTTTTTTTTTTAACCAGACTGAGAATGAAATTATAATGTATCCCATGGGTCTGCATGTTATGGATCTGAGGGGTGGCATCAATTGCTTTGTCTGCTTTTCACAAAAGACACAGAAACAGTCCGGCCAGGTTCTGAATAACTTCCATCAGAACTCACAGGGAGGGGCCACAGTTGTCTATAAGGCCTCCTAGTGTCACAGATGGGGAAAAGCTGAGGCCCAGGGGAGGATGAGCCAGAATGAAAGAGCAGACCTGGTGCCCTCACCCTCCTTCCTCTCCAGCCCCTGCTGCCCCAAGCCTCACCCAGATCCCTCCCATAGGGGCTAGAAATGAGGGCAAGAATTCACCCACACCAAAAGCCCTCTTACCACCCCCTCATCCCCGCAGGACAGCAGGCCCTCCAGGAGGCAGCTCTCTGCTGGCTAGCACACAGGTGAATAATCAGGTAGCTCCAGGGAGGCCGGTTCACAACCAGGCAGAGCCTCTTCCTTCCTTATATAGGAGCATGCCAACTTGGTGACCACATCCAACCCCCGTGCCCACTTAAGAGACATTTGATGCCAGCAAACGCTTCAGAAAGGGGGGCCTGGCTCCATGGATGGTGAGCAGAGAGAGTGCAGGCTGGAGCCAAGTGGCCTCCCACCCCCATGGGGGAGACCTGTCCTGACCAGGCATCTGGAGAGGCAGCCACATTACAGGGCACAGGCTCAGTCCTGGGAGCTGGCCTGGAGCTACCTGCCCCGCCAACCTACAGCCACATACCTTGGAATCCCAGGGGGTGGGCAGGGGCAGGACCTGGCCATGTCCAAAGTGACCAGTGTCTCCTCCCTGAGCCAACCCCGTGACTCTCTTGGTTGTGGGGAAGTCAGGGGTCATGGGATTTGAACCCCTGAGATGTAACGGCCCCTGGCTCTGGAAGAACAGGTGGGACAAGAGTTTGGGGAGGAGGCCTGGAGTCTGTGCACACACCTGTCGGGGACGTGGGGGATTCCTGCCCAGGGGGCCAGTGCTCAGTCTCTGCCAGGCCCTGCAGAGGGAGAGGGCTCAGCACCCTGCACAGCCCCCGGCCCTGAGGGCAGCTCCCATCCCCTGAGGATACAGCCTGGGCGCTCACAGTCCCAGCACTGCTTCCTGTCCATCTTCCTCCCCCGCAGCCCAGGGCAGAGCTGAGCACGCAACTGCGCTTCCAGGCACCAGCCCACTGCCCTCAAGGAGCTCAGGGACCTTATTCTCAGCAGCCCACCAGGGTGATCCATTTCAGCTCTTGCCCCTCAAACTCCCCTTCCCCCACCCAATGCACATGTCCACCCCCTACCCCCTACCCCACCCACACACTCTGGGTTGCTGACCAGGCCATTCCAGGTGGGAAGGTGCTCCGCGCCTTCTCCACACTATAGACACCCCTCTCCAGCCCTCAAGTCTTGTCCGGGAAGCCCCTGGGGACCCGGGCACAGGGCTCTTTTCGGCTCTGAGCACCAGATGCCCTGGTGCCTGCCCCGTGGGCATAAGCTCCCTATCAGGGGTGCAGGCTTCTCTTGTCCCCAAACCCCTCTGGGCCCTCGCTCTGCCTGCACGTCTCTGCAGCCAGGCACCGGCAAGGCTCCTGAGAGCAGTACCAGGGAACACACAGGAGGAAATGCTGCGGAGAGGGGAGACGCCGCCAGCTGGTGCAGGAGCAGGGCTGGTGAGGCTGTGAGGCGAGGTCCCCGTCCCCCCACTCCACCCTCTGGGCCCAAGGCTCTACACTCACCTCCCTGGGCCAGTGCAGCAGCTGCCCCGGCTGGGCAGAGGAGAGGGCCAGGGTCTTGGCTGTGGAATGGAATCTGGGGAGAAAAATAGCCAAAAGGACTCCAGGGGCCCTCCCAGCACCAGTGCCCCCCTTCCAGGCAGGGGCGTCAGTGTGCTTTTGCTGGGCCTGGGGTCTTTGCGGGAGTGAGCATTCAGGAAGGACTCTGCCCACTGAGGCTGGACAAAGGCGATGTTCCCAACAGTAGCTCCCAACTTGACCATGGGTTAGAATCACCTGAGGGGCTTGTAAGACACACATTGCTGCACCCCACCCCTGCAGGTCTGGGCGGGCCCGAGAACCTGCCCTTCTAACAAGCTCCAGGTGCTGCCGATGCTGCTGGTCCAGGGCCCACACCTGGAGAACCCCTGACTCAACTATGAGAAAGGCAGGGAATCCTAGAATCCAGGTGGGAAAGGGCCTTGAAGGCACCCGGCTGCAGCTCCTCAGCATGCAGGGTCTGGGCACCTTGGGGGTGAAGGCAGTGCCGGGCCCCTCCCACATGGCTGTCCCCTCAAAGGCCAGGCCAAGGGCGTGAGCTGCACGGCCGGCCACAGTATACCTGCCAGTGCCCTCAGGCAGCAACACACAGCCCTCCTCATCCGAGCCATCCTCGCAGTCCAGAACACCGTCACAAGGGCCCCCTCTCAGGACACACTCACCACTGGCACAGCGGAGTCCAACCCCTGGGCACAGAGGTGCCGGTGGGGACCCTGTGTGGAGGACGTATGGCTGAGGGCTCCTCCCATGGCCCCTCTCTCTCCTGCCCTGCCCACCCCTGCGCAACCTGTACCTGGCTCGCAGCCCAGCAGCTCCACCTGCAGGGGGACATCGCTGTGGTGGACATCGTGGGGCCACACCCTGACAAACCTCGCCTGCACCATGCGGCCGAAAGTCCATACGGCAGGGTCCAGGTCATCCCAGTTTCTGGGGAAAAGCTGCCAGCAGAGGATGCGGATGACTGAGCTTCACCTCTTTTTCAGGCTGACCTCATGACTTTGAGTGACCCCACTTTTTCCCCAGTTTTCACGGCCCCTCCCAGAGCCATGCCCCCCACCCTGGCAGTAGGCATTTGGGCCTCTCAAGGCTGGAGGGGGCTGGTCCTGGACTGAGCTCCTCTCGCTAAGCTGGAGGTGCCCCTAGGGCAAAGGCCAGGTCCTGTTCACTGCTGTGTCCCCAGGGCCTGGCTCGGCACCTGGCACAGAGCAGGTGCTCCTGAAACAGTTAAGACTTAACACAGCACGGACTGATTCCTACCGCTTCGTGCGGTTTGTCTCCGGGAAGGATGCAAACCCCCTGAGGGCAGGGCTGTGCCCAGGCTGCTCTCCACGAAGACGTGCGTGGGTCTGGGCTCCCGGAGGCCCTCAGTGAACTTGGTGTCTCCCCATCCTCTCTCCCTTGCAGGCTTCACATACCTGCCCTGAGTCTGAGCCACTTGGATGGTTTCCAGCATCCATGTGACAGTGGCACCCAAGCCTCGGCTCCACAGAGCACAGTCCCTGCTACTCACCAGGTATTCAACAAGCATCGAATGCAGGCCATGCCCCTCGGGGACACTGGAAGGCCCTTGGGGACAAAGACTATGGAACCCACAAAAGGGCATGGTGGGCTGCTGGCCCCATCGGCCTTGGGCGGGTGATACCTTGGGCAGGGGCAAGATGCCAGGCAGGAGGTCACGATAGTCATGCCAGTGTAGACCATTGCTGCTGAACTGGAGTGAGAAGCTGCTGGCATATGCGTTGGAGGAGCCAGTCTCCGGCACTAGGATGCCTGGGGAGGGAGGGGCCAGGGCAAGAGCAGAGGTCAGAGCTGAAGGAGCTACACCGGCCCCCCGCCCATCATCACTGCCTCCCCCTCAAGCACTGCCCTCCTCACTGACCAGTGAGGTTCCGAGGCTGAAGCAGGTCCAGCTGCAGGTAATGGGGCCGAGTGTGCCACTTGGCATAAGCATCCCCTCCAGCGTGCCATCCCTGAGGGCTGGGCCCCTGGGTGGGAGCCCCCAGGAGGGCAGCCTGGGTGGGGTGTTCCAGCTGCTGGGACGATGCATGCAGACTCCCCTCAGCCAGTCCGGCCAGCCCCAGGGGAGAATAGCAGGGGTCTGGGTGCAGAAGAGAGAGACAGGCTGGAGTAGGGGAGGACAGAGGGCGGCAGGAGCCTGCAGGGACACGGTTAGGAAGTCGCATGGGGAGCTAGGGGATGTGAAACGTCCACATGGGTGACTTTAGCCCAGGGAGGGAAGAGTCAAGAGAGGCAACTTAAGATAGGATGACTCCCAGATCCTTAGGACAACCATCCACAGTGTGCAGGGCAAGGAGGATGTCCCCGAGGGCCTGTTTCCCCTCCCAGGTTGGACAACCCCTGGGCAGCATGGCCCCTCTCAGCACTGCACTCCATAGCACATGGCCCTTACCTCCTGACGGAGGCAGAATGTAAGTGGCCAAAGGGAATCTGATCTGGGGACTGGGAGCCGGAGCTGCGGCAGGAGTGGCCATGGGCTGGACCGTCTGGTTCTCTCCTGTGGGAGGAGACTTCAGGGTCAGGAGACAGAGACCGAGAGGCTCACAGTCCCCAGCCCAGCACTCAGGCCTCTCCCCACTTCTTAGAGCATTTTCTCCCTGCTGACTTCCCAGGAACAACCTCCTAGCTGGGAAAGGTCCCTCCTCCTTCCCTTGGTGTGAATTGGGGGCTTTCACATCTACTGAATATTTAGAGAACATAGAGTAAAACTGCCAGCCTGAAACTACTTTCAGCCCAGGACCCAGCAACTGCAGTTCCTAATCCAGGGGTGCTGACACCAAAAAGGCACCTTCATGGGCATTAGAAAGGGGCTGCCTCTGGATGAAAGCAGCTCTGTGGGCTGGAGTCTGGGTCCCAATCACCAGCTAACTTGTACAGTGAACAACCTGTGCAGCTGAGTATGCTGGTTCTGTTTTAACCTCAGCAACCTGTGGATGCACTTTTAGGATAAGAATGGGGCAGCCTGATCAACATGGCAAAACTCTGTCTCTGCTAAAAATACAAAAATTAGCTGGGCATGGTGGTGCATGTCTAACCCCAGCTACTCGGGAGGATGAAGCATAAGAATCGCTTGAAGCCAGGAAGCAGAGGTTGCAGTGAGCCGAGATCACACCACTACACTCCAGCCTGGGGGTCAGAGTGAGACCCTGTCAGAAAGAAAAGAAGAGGAGACAGGACAGGACAGGACAGGACAGGACAGGACAGGACAGGACAGGACAAGACAAGACAAGACGGAAAACCTGGACCCATAAATGCATCCATTTCAAGCCTTTGTATTTTCCCGTTTCACTTATAACTCCTTTCCAGGCAAAGATACTTTTGAAAAGTCCAACTTAACTTTGTCTTGGCTATTCTAAGAGGGAAAGAAAAGCAACCAGAGCAACCAGATCTGAGCAGAAACAGAGGAAAGAGAGCACCTCAAAGGTGGCACCATGGGGGAGGCAGAAAGCCCCCAAAGCACAGGAAGGCAGGGCGGACGGAGAGGGAGGGCAGAGAGAAGCCTTCGCACCCCGAGGTCCCCTCCTTCCCTTGGCATGCAGAACTCAGGCTTCCTGCCACCCTGAGGCTGGGGTATCCAGCCACCCCCGCTCAGTGCCCCTGGTTCCCTCTCAGAGACCCTGCCGATTGTCCTCCCCCTGGGACTTCCCTGTCATGCCCCAGGCACACTCACCAGGTAGGGCACAGTGGCAGCATGATTCTCCCGTCCCCTCCACCAAGACCCAGCCCTGCAGAGGCACAGAGGTCAGGCCGCCTGCCTATCTCCAACCCATTCCACCAGCCTCCCCATCCCCTCCAGCTCTGCCCACCACACACTCCAGTGCCCTCACCTGGGGGCAGCTGCCGAGCGGGCAGTAGGGTGAGCAGTGTGCGGTGAGGTTGTGCAGACACTGGCACACCCTGCAGGGGCCCCCATGCCAGCGTTCCCCGACACGGTGGACCTGGCCCTGATGCTCACACCCCTCACAGGGCTCCGTCTGGCACCTGAGAAGGGAGGGATGTCCCTGGCCTGGTGACGGGGCTTGCTTGGGGTAAACAACTCTCCTGGTTCGCCTGGACTGAGGACTTTCCCAGGACTTGGGACTTTCTGTGATAAAACTGAGGAAGTCCTGGGCAAACTGAGACATTTGGTCACCCTATCAGCCCACTCTGCCCCTACACCTGAGACATTGCAACTGGCCCAGAAGAAGGCCAGGGAAGCAATTTGTACCAGCACTGCAGCCAGCGCCGTGGGTCCCAGAGGGGGCTGGGGAGGCAGCTATGGCAAGAGCCCCCCGCAAGCCTCAGCCCAGGAATTCAAGCTGAGTTTGTGAAGCTGCATCTGCGGGCTCCGTCTACCCACCTTCAAGACCTAGAGGGCATAAAACTAGAGAAGGGAAAGGCCAGGGGTCCCCAAAGAGGTTCCGGGACTCCCGGGATTTAGACGGGTAGGGGCACAGGGCAGGGGTTCCGAATTGGGGATGTGTGGTGGATGTGGAAGGGGCACACAGGAAGCTTCCTAAGTGGGAGGTGGGGTGCGGGCCAAGGTCCCTGCAGGTCCCCCGGTGGGTGGGGAACAGAGCACCTGCGTGCCTTGCGGTGGATGCCACGGCACTGGCGACCTCGGCCGGAGGGGCGGGGGTTGTTGGAGCTCCGGAAGGACCACTGGATGCTCTGGCTTCCACAGGGGCCCAGGCACTTGGCCCAGGGTGACCAGGAGGACCAGCCACAGTCCACTGAGGGAGGGCCAACAGTCAGAGCCTGAAGGAGGTGGTGGATGTGCAGCTGGGCGGTCCAGGGAGAGGACTAGGGACCCCGAGGGAAGGGCCTCACCAGCGCAGTCCGGGTTGAGTCGGCAGCGTCGGGGCCGTCCGTCTTGGCAGATGCAGAGCTGGCAGTCGGCCTTGATGCGTTGCCCAGGCCAGTAGCGGGCACCGTCCACCAGGCAGGGGCACTGCCGGGGCCACACACACCACCCCTCGCTGCCCAGCACCTGCCCTTCTGGGCACCAGCAGCCTAGAGGGGGCCCAGGGTGAGGCTTCCATGCAGAGGGCTGTTGCCACAGACCCACACCCTGGAGCCAGCACCTGGGCCCAGAGCCCCCTTACCCGGGCTGCCGCAGGGCCAATCAGGTGGGCACGTGACCTGGCCAGAGATGTCATCACAGGTCAGTGGGCAGGGGGCACAGGGCTGGAACATCAGCTCCCCAGAGCAAGTGGCATTGGGGCAGCCGTCCTGAGGGCAAGGCTCTGAGAGAAGCCGGAAGCAGAGGTCAGAGGTCAGGGAAGGGAGCTCTGCAGAGAGGATGGCCTCCCACCAGCAGCACCATCCTCTCTTCAACTCACTGGTCTGGCGGGTGCTGTGCAGGCCTCCGGGCAGTGCAGCACAGGTGCGGCCCCCATTCTGGGGTGAGTGGCACTGCCGTTGCCGCGTCATGGTGCCCCTGCACGGCTCAGAGCACACAGACCAGGGGGACCAGGTGCTCCATTCACCGTCCACTGTGAGGCAGGGGGACAGGGCAGGCAGTGAGGACCATGGGGGAGGGCTGAAGGCCTAGTGGCCTTCTTCTCCCTTCCTCTATCCAGGCCCCACCACCCCAGCCCCTCACCTGGGCAGGCTGCCGTGAAGCAGGCCTGAGACTGGTGCTCAGGCCCTGGGCAGTTCTGTAGCACCAGGAGGCCGAGTGGGGAGCAGCGGCGGCTCCGGCCCTGGCCCCAGGGCCCACACGTCCGGCTGCAGGGCCCCCATGGGCTCCAGGGGCCCCAGGCCCCACAACCCTGCTCTTCTGGGGAGGGGCCCACCTGCCCTGGCCTTCCACAGTCAGGCTGCCCATCACACACCTGGGGAGGGAGTGGGGTCAGGGCTCTTGTGCTGGGAGGCAACATGGCACTGCCGCCTCCTCCACCCACTCCCACCCTCACCAGCTGGAAGCCTATGCAGGTGCCATTGGGGCAGGTGTATTCTGGGCAGGGAAGCCCTGTCCTGTTGGGGCCTCCCAGGGCTGGCAGCCCCCCTGGGAAAGAAGAGGAGAAAAAACACAGTGAGCGGGGGGTGTGAGCTGTGTCCCGGGCCCAGCCAGCGGGGCCTCCCTCAGGGAACAAAGCATCCTCACCGCAGTCCAGCTCGTCCTCGCCCTGGGGACAGTCTGGGATCCCATCACAGAGCTGCTCAGGGGTCAGGCACAGCCCCGGAGCCACACCACAGGGAAAGAGGCCAGGGCACAGAGGCAGCTGGGTGGAGCCTGCGGGCACTGTGAGATGTGTCCTGCTCCGCTCCTGTCCCTTCCTGCCCTCTCCCTGCAGAGGGGCAGAAAGGCGGGTGGGAGGCGGCCAGACAGGCCAGCCTGGGAGGAGCTGGGGGGCCTGTGGACAGCTCGCTATAGGGGGAGGTAGACAGGACCTGAAGGGCTGGCTTGCAGTGACACAGAGGGTCTGCTCAGGTCTGGTGGGGAAATGCTGAGGGCGGGATCCCTCCAAACAGACACACTCCTCATCCCCGCAGAGCCTCTGCCCACCCTCTTATCCCTTCTTGGCCAAGTGTGGGGAAAGACAAAGCCCCTTTCTTCGCTCTCCTGGGCCTAGGTGGGAGGGTAAAAACTTTTCAAATAAAGTTTCACGAAAAAGATCAAAGGAACGCAAACGTGGCCCAGCCTCGGATGCCCCCAAACCTAAATCACTCTAGCTGCCGCGCCCACCTGTGCCTCAGGAGGCGAAGGTGGGGATGGCGCTCGGGAAGAGGTGGGCCCGCCGGCTTGGCCAGGGGGGCCGCGCATGGCCGGGGGCGCGGGAGCCTCAACGCAGGCGTCGGGGCCCTCGTCCGAGCCGTCGGGACACTGCCGCACGCCGTCGCACAGCTGCTCGGGGGACACGCAGTGAGGGCCGCGGGCGCAGGGCGCGTGGTGCGGCGCGCAGGGCCCTCCGCAGCCGCGCTCGTCGCTGCCGTCGGCGCAGTCTTCCTCCTGGTCGCAGCGCCAGCCCCGCGGGGTGCACTCGCCGCTGCCGCACCGAAACTCGAAGGGGCCGCAGGGTGGCGCTGCAGGGAGCGTCCGCGCTGGATCCTCTGCCGGCGAGCGCCCTCCCACCCGCAACCGCGCCCGGGTCAGTCCTTCCACCTCCGCCGCTGCTCCCCTCCCTGGTCCAAGTCCCTTGGCCATTTCCTGGGCCTGGCCCTAACCCACCTGCAGCCCCTTCCCGAGAACAATCCCTCTGCATTTTGCTGCCCGGTTGGTTTTCCCAAAGCTCTCCCCTGGGCCAAGAATTTCCATGAGACTCCCTGCAGCTGGGAGGGAGGCCTTGAACGCCAGGAAAGAGTGTAGACTCTTTCAAACGCCCTCCACTTCATTCATTCCAGCGTCTTCGGGTGTCTCCCACTGCGCCCTGCTCCTTCCCATCCCAGAGCAGCGCCACAAATGCCTCTCTCTGAGGCTTCCATGCCCCTCTCCCCCAGGCTTCTGGCCACCAGCTTTCCCACCTCTTCCCTCCAGGAGACTCACCAGGGCTGGCGCTGGCCAGGGGACTTGACGCAGTGTCCAGGGAGCCTGGGGAGGGGCCAGGCAAGGTGCTGGCAGGAGGTGTGGGCAGAGAAGGTAGGGGGCAGTGTCCCGGCCCCTCATCGGCTCCATCTGGGCAGTCCCAGACTCCGTCACACAGCTGGATGGCCCCCAGGCAGGTGCCATCAACACAGGACACCTCCCCGGGGACGCAGGTCACCTGCCCTGCACAGAAAAGAAGAACTGGCTCTGGGGCACTGCCCTGTACTCTTACTGTTTGGGGTGCCCCAACTCCCACACCCTCAGGACCAACTTCATAGCAGGAACCTGGCAAAGGAGCGGGGAGGTGAAGTCGGGGCTCTTGAGGAGATGGGCCTTGCGGGAGGGAGTGCTGGGTGGGCTGGCGTCCAGGGCAGGGACAACTCACCCAGACAGGACTCCTCGTCGGCGGCATCCAGACAGTCAGGATGCCCATCGCAGAGCAGGGCCGGCGGCAGGCAGCGTCCATCGGCACAGGCCAGCAAGCCCTGGGGGCACGGATAGCTCGGCTCATCCGTGCCATCTCCACAGTCATCCTGGCGGTCACAGAGCAGGGCCAGGGGCAGGCAGTGGCCGGAGCTGCAAGTCATCTGCCCCTCCCCACAGCCTGGGGCGGCACAACCTAGCATGGGGCAAACAGGCAGGCTCAGGACGCTGCTGTAGGGGCCCAGAGAAGCCCTGAACCCCAGAGGGACCAGAACACCCTCCCTTCCCCTCATCCCTCCAGGCCACAGGCAGCCCCTGGCAATGGGAGCAGCAGCTAAAGAAGCCACTCCAGGACAGCTGCCTTGGCCCCAGGAAATTCAGTTACATGTGCAAGGACTGACCAACCCTGTCGCTTCCACGCATGGGCAAAGACACTCACCCTCCTCATCAGAGCCATCGCCACAGTCGTCCTGGTTGTCACAAAGCCACCCATGGGGCACACAGTGCCCATTCTCTTGGCACAGGGCCTCTCCCTCTGCACAGGCAGGCACAAGCTCCTCACAGTGGCCACCGTCACCCCCACAATGCCATTGACCTTCCTGGCACGTGCTGAGCACACAGCGTCCTGGGATCAGCCACAGGCTGGGCTTGGCCCAGTGCTCCTTCAATAGGTCCCCCCCAAGATGACCTCCCCACTCACCAGTTCCCGCAGTCCTTTTGCAGCACAGACCCCGGCGGGAAGGAGTTGCGGCCCCACTCACAGGGGCAGGAAGCTGGCTCCAAGCAGGCTCCTCCTGAGGTCACAGAGTGCAGGGCTCAGAGCAAAAGGGCACAGTGGCCCCTTCCCAGTCTCAGTGCCCCTCCCCTCTGCCCTTTGTCACTCTACACACCGTGCAGCAGAGTCCCCTCGGGGCAGAAGCAGCCCTCCACACAGGCCACCACCTGGCAGTGCCACCCGGGCTCAGGATGCTGCTCATGGCAGGTGGGGGGACACGTGGGGCCACAGGCCTCATATACCTGTCCCCCTTCACACTGCAGGGCTGGGTGGAGAGGAGAGAGCCTTGGATCACTGAGGCACAAGGGCAAAAGGATGCAACCACACCAGGCTGGCTGGCCAAGGTGACCACCATGGAGGGCACAGGGTGTCTGGTGTAGACCTTGGGCAAGACCCCCCGGGCCGACGTGTACCATGTCAGCTCTACTCGGCAGCCGTTCTTGCATATATGGCTTATCTAGAAAAGTGTCTGGCACAGAGTAAGCACTCGATGCACAGCTTGCCCTTGAATGAATGAACGGCCGTCTTGTGGGACAGGAGAAGCTCTTTCAAGAAGCTGAGCCTGTGGCAGTGGCAGGATTTAGCATTGGGGACTGAGGGCGGGGCACACTCACAGCAGAGCTCCTGGCTACGCCAGCGCACGTGGTGCCCATGCCGGGCACACTCATCTGCATAGGTGGCAATGGCCGAGCAGAGGCACTCACAGTCACCCCCCGAGTCGCAGCTGTGGGAGGAAGCATTCAGTCCCGGCACCCCCACCTCTACCCCACTCCAGGTTGGCCTCTCCTTACCCGCAGGCGTCATACAGGCACCACTCATAGTGCTGCTGCGGGGGGACCTCCGCGTGGCATAATGTGAAGAGCGGCTGCAGCAGCGCCCCACAGCGGGCCCGAGCCCAACCAGCCCGGTGTGTGTTCATCTGCAGGCACAGGGTGGCGTCTCCAGCACAGTGGACCAGCGGACACCCTCCCCAGCCCTGCCTCTGGGAACCTCCCTTCCTGCTTTCCCGCCTGCACTCACCGTGCAGGGGTGTGGCAGGTCTCCTGGCTCAGGGCAGAGGGGGCTGAGGCGCCAGGAGTGGGCAGCCAGTTCAGCTGTGGGCTCCAGGACGCCCTGGCGGCTCCGCAGATCATTACTGGCATCTCCATCAAAGTCACCACACAGCCCAGCCACGCGACCACGGAACTGAGGGGACAGTTGCACCAGGACCCGAGTCCCTGGTGGCAGCATGGTTAAAAGTGACCTCACCAGCCCTTATCTGGGCCAGAAGACCCAGGGTCTGTTTTACCACCACCAGGTGCCACCCCCACCAGGGGGTATGGTTACCTCTTTTGTGGGGGGATGATTGGTGATGATAAATGAAGAGACCTATATTTAGGGGGCTCAAGGTAGGAATTAGGAGCCTATTTTCCTAACTAACACCAAGCCAAGGGCTGAGGGGGAGAGAAATTCTCCATCAGGTCAGATTCTGGGAAACCAGACTCCAGGATGGACTGTGAGGCCCAGCAGCACCAGCCTCGGTGGCGGCAGGCTGGGAGGGTGGCCCAGCGGCTCAGAGCCAAGTCCATATGGGGGTTATCTGGGTTTCCCTCAGTTCCACAGAAGCAGTTAGATATAACATATAAGCCAACTGCTTATATGGGTGATGGGAAGTTAGGAGATTTATTTTCATTTCGCCTTTCTAAAACTTGGTATTTTCTCAATGTTTCCCTTGGTGTGGAAGGATTGCTTTCATAATGATGAAAAAGATAATTATGAAAACCTAATTTAAAAAAAATTTTTTTCTCGCTCTATTGCCCAGGCAGAGTGCAGTGGGGTGATCACAGCTCACTGCAGCCTTGACGTCCCAGGCTCAAGCAATCTTCCCATCTTAGCTCCCAGGTAGCTGAGATTTCAGATGCGCACCACCGTGCCCAGCTAATTTTTGTATTTTTTGTAGACAGGGAGTCTTGCCATGTTCAACCCAGGCTAGTCTCAAAGCCCTGGGCTCAAGGGATCTGCTCGCCTCAGCCTCCCAAAGTGCTGGGATTACAGTTGTGAGCCACTGCACCTGGCCAAAAACCTAATTTGGAAACTCGGACCTCTTGCATGGACTGGGAGGTAGGGGTGGCACTGGGTTGGGCATGGGGCAGGGCAAGTGCCAGCCAGGCAGGGAAGTAAGGTGAGAGCTCAGGGTCCTAGCCTGGCTGTCAGCTTAGCTCTCAGCCTGGAAATCTGCCCTGTGGAGGTGTCAGGGGCTCAGTGGAGGGAGACCAGGAGGAGGGAGGGTCAGGCGTTGGGAGAAAGAAGTTGGGGTGAGTTCAACCCTATGGTGCTAAGGCGGGGCACAGGTCCAATGGTTGAGGGAGGGCAGGGGCCTGATCTCCATCCCAGAGCAGGGTGAGGCCCAGGTGGGTCGAGAGCAGCAGGAAGAGGCCAGCACGACGCAGGCTCAGCCCAGGGCCTGTGTAGACCTTGGGGGGCGTCACGCTCACCCCATTCACCGTCACTGCCCGGCCTGTAGAGGAAGAAAGGCATTCAGGCCCAGCCTGGAGGAAAGGGTCCTCCAGATCCTCATGAGGCTCTCTAGCTCCCCTGTCCAGCCCTTCTTTTGCTTCTCTACCTGTGTGACCTTGGGCACATCATTAGACTTCTCTGGGACTTAATTTCTGGGAGGCTTCTGGTATTGAGTCCCAACCAAGAGGAGAGGCACCAACCCCATGGCATGGAGGGCAGCCAAGCCCAGTAAGGAGCTGGCCAGCAGTGAGCAGACACAGGGAACCCCGCCCCCTCCCACCTTGCACAGCTGGGAAGCCATACAGGTGTGCCCCTCCCTGGCAATGTCACCCTTCAATGTTGCAGCCACCTCTGAGCATGTGCACAACAGTGCCCTCCAGACGCACGGCCAGCGCTTTGGTGCAGGTGAGACCGCTGGCCCCACAGGGCAGGTTCTGGGCAGAGACTGTGAATAGGCCACTGGCCTCTCGCACCAGCAGATACTCGCAGGCCCCAGGATAGGTGAAGGCCAGTCCGTCAAATGTCACATAGTGGGGGGCGCCTGATGCCTGGCACCGCCCACTGCGCCGCTGGCCTGTGCAGTGCCACTGCCGGCCCCGGCACACGCTATGGGCAAGGTGGGGGAAACAGAGTCACCGAGGATAGGGCCCTGGGGGCTGGATCCAGGGAAGGCAGCTGGTCCAGGTTCCAGGCAATCTCAGCAGCCCTCAGCGTGGTGGGGTCCTGCAGGGTTCCCTTGGCCCAGGCCAGTCTGGATACCCCAGCCCCCACCACCCCGACCCCTTCTGGTGGAGGGAAGGATGATGTGTGGGGAGCCATGGGCCACAAGGTCAAAGGGTTAGAGGTCACGGCAGCTGGGCATACCAAACGTTGCAGTCTTCCTGGATGGTGGCGTTGGGCAGGTACCACTGCCCACTGTGACGGCAGGGACAGAGGTCAGGAGGCACACAGCGCTCGTCCTGGGCAGAGGGCAGGGACAAAGGGCACCATGTAGGGGTGCGAGGGGAGCAGGGCAGTGCCCTGGCTTAAGGAAGGCCATCCTGTTCCCCCACGCAGCTCCTTCTTGGACTCACCAGCAGCACCGTGCCTGGTGGACAGACACAGCCATCAGTACTGCCTGCAGGGCAGGAGTGATTGGCGCTGGGGCTGTCACAGGTGAGGAGACAGGCACCAGGGGCATAGACAAGCTCCCTGGGGCAGAATGCCCCTGTGAAGGGCAGTGGCGAGCCGTGCAATTCCAGAGGCCCCTTTCCTGGCAGATGCTGCAGGAGGTTGAGAAGGAGTAAGAGGCAAGTCCGAGCTTCCAGGAACCTGGTCTGACCTGGTGAGAATCTCAGGAACCCAGACACTGGGTACCCAGGTGTCCAGATCCCATCACGTTGAGTGAAAACCCAGCCCTGATGCTGGAGACCTGAGCATCTCAGCTCCCAACACTCAGTCATCAGCACAGGGAGTTGGGCTGTTTCCAGCACCCTGACATGCCTGGGATAGACATTGTCACCCTTTCTGTCCCGGCTCCAATAGGTCCATCCTCCAGGCTCTGGAGCAGGACAGAGATATTGAACCACCCTACTCCCAGCCCAGGTAGGAGAGGGATTGCATTGAAGCCTGCAGATCCATAATCTGCCTTCACTTCACTTCTCGTGAACAAGCTGTGTGACCCTGCAAGCTGTTTAGCCTATCTGAGCCTCAGTTTCCTCATCTGCAAAATGGGAACAATTTTTCCACTTCTTACTTTATGAGGTTATGATAGGAAAGTAAAACTAGATAAAATGATGCACACGAAAGTGCTTTATGGACCCTAAAGTGCCCCACGACCGAGGGGAAGTGATCAGCACTCTGTCACCCCCAGCATGCACGCTGCAACCAACAAGGCTGCACCCCACCCGTTATCTCCCAAGCTACCTCTTCACCCCCACATTCTTCCTCTTGCCCCAAAGGTCGCTGCCCTCACCAGCGGTTGCACTCCTTCATGGTGGCACTGCCAGGGGCATAGCGACGGGCTCCGAGCTGGCAGGGGCACAAGCTGGGGGGCACACACTGGCCCTCAGGGTCCCACAGCAGCCCCAGAGGACAGTTACAACCAGCCACACAGCTGCCCAGCTCTCCACAGTCCTCTGGTTTCCCGCAGTGTTGACCGCATGCTGGGGCACACTCTCGGTACTCCTGGCCACCAGGACACATAACAGCTGGGCACAGGGACACACACAGGTCAGGGGCATAGCCACCACTGGCTCTCTCCACCCCCTCGGAACCCCACAGCCCACACCCCCTGTGCCTTTGCAGGAAGAAAAGCCCGGCAGTCTGCCAAGGGTAGAGATGCACCCTGGGCCCCTAGCCATTCCTGGAAGGGGGATGGGCTAGGGAGGAGGGGAGGAGCCTGGGTGGGGTTGGCTGGGCTGAGCAAACTTACGGCAGAGGGTCTGGTTCCTCCAGGGAGGTGAGGCACCTTCCTGGGCACAGCGACGCGCATAGGCAGACAGCACCGGGCACAGGCAGTCACTGCCGGGATCACAGCCACACACGGCTGCCAGGCAGCGCAGATAGAATGGCTCTTTGTCCACCAGCCTGTGGCATTCCTTGGGAGGAGATGGGGAAATGGGTCAACTTCTCCTCCACGGAGTCTACGTCCCCTTGGTCCCCAATACCACCTCTGGGCTTGTCTGGTCTCCCTTGATCCTCCCAAGAGCCCAGGTGGAGGGCAGGGCAGGTGTCGGCCCATCTTACAGATGTGGGAGGAGCCCAACCCAGCTACCTGGAAGACAGAGCTGTGCAGGATGGCACAGGCCGCCTCTGCGAAGGCGTGGCGCTGGGAGTGGGTGGTGCAGGGAGACAGCAGGGCACTGTCCTCAGAGGGGCATCTTCCCTTGCCGGCCACCTGGAACTTGCTAGCAAAGGCAGCAATGCTAGTTTCCACATCTCCGGCTGGTGTCAGGAAGTCGTCCTGCTGGTTCTGGGTGAAGGTGCCACACAGACCCTGCACCTGGGCCACAAGCACGCATGTAAGACAGCTGAATGCAGTCCCACCGCACCCTTGCTCCCCCACACAGCCGCCTCACTGGCACACCTGGTGGGCATGGCGGGGGTCCAGGGTGATGTAGGCTACAGGGTCAGACAGTCCCCAGAGCACCTGGGCCCCAGGCCAGCGCAGCAGCAGAAAGGCAGAGGAAGCTCGGCGCACACTGAGGCCCTCAGCGCCAATCCAGGGCAAGCCCACATCCTGCCCATTGACCAGCACAGCTCCTGGAACAGGGGGTCTGATGGTGGGGGTGGGGCACGTGGAAGGATAGGGCTGCGATAAGGGAAGGAGCTTGGATGGGAAGTAGAAAGTCCCATGTCAGGATGGGCTGCTGGGGACAACTAGAGTGTCCACCTGAGCTCCCTACCCCTGCGGCCCAAGGACTACCCTTGGCACACAGATTTTCCAGTCCCTCACCCTCATGATCAGTGTGTGGGAGGAGCTAGATGGCAAGCCAGGAGCTGGTTGGGGAGGGTTGGAGGGACCCTGCTGAGTGGCCTGCCCGGTCTGGTCATGCCTTAAGGCCTTTCAAGCTCTCATAGCTGCATGACTTGTATCTGACCCCAGGACGGGGCAGAAGATGCCTCGGAACATCTCCTCAGGACTCTGTATGTCTGCTTCAGAGATGAGAGGGCCGGGGAAGTTGAGGCAGTGTGCTTAGGTGTAGGAGGCTGGGGAAGAGTGTTTGGACTCCAAAGCCATAGGGTAGTGTGGAGGAGGAGCAGTGACAGGAGGCCTGAGACTGCCTCAAGAGTGCAGAGCAGAGGCTACCTGAGTCCCTGAGCTGGATGTGGGTGTCCTCCAGGGAGACGGAGATGGCGTGCAGGCAGCTCCCAGCGTCGCAGGCCCCATGCTCCAGTAGGATCAGTAGCTGTCCCTTCACATAGTCCTGGGGCGGGCAGGGGGAATTCAGTGGGGCCCGGCGGGCCAACCCTCTCCGGAGAGGCTTCTGGAGACCTTCCCTACAGAACACCTTCAGCACGCACCTGGAGGCAGCTGCCCACCTTCCGGCCAGGCAGACTCTCTGCCAGGTAAGGGGCTTCGTCCTCACCATGGGCCGCATGCGTGGATGTCTGTGTGTATGTGTGTGCAGGGCCATGGAGGTGCACATAGGTGTCATGTGGAGGTGTGTGTGCATGTTTGTATGTTCACGAGTGTGTGTAGGTAAGTGCGTGTCTGCATGTTGGGGTGAGATGACTCCTCTCTTTCCTCCTTATGGATATGTATGTTCTCCCATGTTTGTGTGCATGTATACACACATGCTAAATCTACATGCACATACATGAGTGTGTGTCATGTGTATGTCTGTGTCTGTCTGTAAGTGTGTACATGGGTGCATGTATATGTGTGTGGATGCATACAAGTCTCTGTGTGTTGGTGTATAGCCTGTATGTGTCTGTGTGTACACATGCAGATCTCTGTGTTGGTTTGTAGCCTGTGTGTGTGTGTGTGTGTGTGTGTGTTTGCATGCACATGTGCGCGCTCACATGCAGATTGCTGTGTTTTGGTGTGCAGCCTGTGTGTGTGTGAGTGTGTGTACACACATGCATCTTTGACTGTGTTTGCTGGGGGAGATGGCTGTCCTCTTCCCTCCCCATGGACAGGCACAGCCTCTGTGAGGACTGTGCTCCCAGGACCTCCTCACCCCATCACTACTTATGAGAGGAGTGGGAATGGTCCAATAGTTCAATGGAGAGATCACTCAGGGGACCCCAGATGATTGCGAAAATCGTGGCCTGCACCTGAACTTGAGAAGTGAGCTCACTTCATTGGGGGAGGTTTAGGGCGGGAGCAGGGCCTCTTATTTCCCCTGAGGTTGTTTTGCATGAAGTAGTCTATAACAAACTCAGCCCATCCCATCTGTGAGAGACAGGACTGAAGATGGGTTTTGGTTAGTGGCCCTGGGCTGAGTGGTGATGACAGAGGGACTTTCACAGGGAAGCTGGGGAGGAGGTGAGAACCCAGCGGGAGGCCTCGAGGCCTGTAACAGCCATGCCCCCAGTGTTGGTTCTCCCTTGGCCTTTCCTGGGAAGACTCTGGGTTTCGCTTATTTATTTAGGGGTTTCCTTACAGTCAGCCCCACTGTGCCCTCTAGGAGGGCCCCTACTGTGGCAGAGTGCCACCCCAGCAGACCGTCCTCTGCCCACCTGCACCAGGCTGTAGCGGCAACCTTGACCACCCCAGAAGGAGTAGCTCCGCCCATCGAAGGTGAGGTAGTGCCCGTCCCCACCCACTGCACACTCGGCGGGGCACAGTGCCTGGGCACAGTGCCAGCGGCCATCCCTGCACACGCTGTGGGCACATGGGTGAGACAGTGAGCTCTGGCATCAGCTCCACCCTGAGGGGGTGGAGATGACCCCTGAGCTGGAGGTGACCCCCCAAAAACCCCTGTTCCTCCCCTCCCGTGGAAGCCCCTCCTGCTGAAGGGGTAGAGGTCAGCCAGCAAGGCCATCAGCCATGCCAGCAGCAGTCCCAGTCTCTGAGAGGAAGACCCAGAATGGGCTGGAGGCTTAGGGGAAGCAGGTTGAAGAGAAGGGAGGGATCCAAGGGCACCACCTGGCCACCAACCCCCAGCATGGCTCAAGGACCCACCAGGGGTTACACAGCTGGCGCACGGTGTCACCGGGTACATAGCGCTGGCGGCAGTAGTAGCAGGGGCAGTGGGCAGCAGGCACACAGAGGGTGCCATTCCAGAAGAGGCCTCGCGGGCACTCACAGCCACTCACACACTCTTCCCTGCAGGACTCCTCCTCTCCCTGACCCACCGCCTCGCAGCTGGGTGGGCAGAGGGAGACGCAGTCGGAGTAGAGCTGGCCCCCGGGGCACAGGCGCTCTGTGGGCACAGGAGTGAGCTGTAGTCCCCCGCCAGACCCCAGTCAATCCCACAGGGTGGGGAGCCCCTCAGTCAATCCTGCAGCGGGGGGAGGCCCGAGCAGTACCGCAGAAGCCAGGCTTCCTCCAGCGAATGTGGATGTGCCGCCTGGCACAGGCCTGGACATAGCTGGCAAAGGTGGCACAAACAGCCTGCTGCCGCCCCTCTTGCCCACTGCCTGCCATGGCCCCTGCGCAGTAGGCAAAGAGACAGGCCTCGTGGTACTCAGCAGGGGAAACCTGCAGGAAAGGACGGCCCCTCAGCAAACAGCCAGCACCCCCTACCTCCTGCTTCCATCACTCCATAACTTATAACCAAATGGATCAGCCCCAAAAGGAACCTCAGAGATCACATATATGAGCGGGCCATTTCCCAGAGATAAAGCCAAGGATGGAGAGGTGGGGGTTTGACAGATGGCCCAAAGTAACCCACAGGCAGGGCCAGACCAGCTTGCTGACACTTCTCTATCACCTTCCCTTGGGTGCCAGACACCACCCCTACCCCACCCATACCTGGGCATGGCACTGCCCGAATGGACCTTCCAGCAGCTGATGGCACACGTCCTGGGCTTCAGCCCGCAGGTGGCCAGGTTCTACATCTGCGTCTATGAGCCCCAGGGGGCTGTCACAGCCCTGGGCCACCTCCACTGCATCCAGACACCCAGACTGCAGACAAAGGCCATCAGGTCAGGTGGCAGTGATGAGGGACGTTAACCAGGACCCCAGAAAAATGCCTCCTGCTCTCACACAGCACCAGGGCCCCACCTTCAGGCCCACCGCCCACATCCTGGGGCTGGGGAGAGAGGCGAGGTGGCAGCCCCACGCTGGGCTGCAGTGGTGGGGATAAATGACTAACTGGTTCACCAATGCTGGCCTCAGATGGCTAGTTCACAGCAGGCAGCCGGGCTTTCTGTGGGACCCCAAGGCCTGCCCTCTGCCCTGAGGATCTGGGAGAGGGCCAGTCCCTGTCCTAGGGAACAGGCCAGCAATGAAACTGGGACAAGGGCTTGGAGGTGCAGGAGTCAGAAGCCAGCCTGAAAAGCTGGGAATGGGCAGGCAGCTGGGAGGGAGGGGCCCCAGTGGCAGCCTCACCTCCGAGCCAGGGAGCCTCCAGGAATTTCCAAAGGTGGCTGCTAACATGGCCAGCCCTCCGCCTGGCTCCATGAAGTCATCTGAGAAGGGGTGAGGCAGGGGTGCTGGGTCTAGGGTCTCCGGTCTTCCCTTCCCTGCTACACCAGCAACAAACCACACCCCACTTACCCTCTGGCCAGCCATTGTAGAGCCCACAGAGGCCTTGTGTCTGTCCCCAGAGCTCGTGGTCCACAGAGATGGAGATGGAGCCAGTCCTGTCCAGCCGCACCACGACCCCCAGGCCTCCTGACAGCACCAGCCAGTCCCCCAGCCATTGCAGGCTCAGCCCTGGGCACAGAAAGAGGTCACTTGCCCCCTGCAGCCACAATTCTCACCCTTCCCACTACCACAGCTGGGCTCAGCTACCCAGGGATGGAAAGGAGAAGGGAAATAACTCACACAATTCTCACATTCTAGAGAGCTCTGCACTTTATACCAAAAGTATATGCTTTACAGCAGAGTGATTGATTTCCATCACAGCTCCCTTTGAGGAGCTCATGAAAGCTGCAGACGCTCTCTGGAGAGAGTAAACTTCAAGTGAACTATGAAACACACGTGCACGTGCACACACATGCATGCACACATACATGCACACACTGCACCCATGCACACACAGGCATACACGCAGGAAGCTCACCCCCACCTCACCCTGCAGCCCAGCCAAGACAAAGGTTCTGTTAGGAGAGCTTCCCATTGCTTAGCACCAAAGTGCTACCTCACAGCACTCCTCTGAGGCTGGCGGGGAAACTGAGGCTCGGGCAGTTAGGTAGAGGGACTTGTCTGAGCTGGTGCTGTGAGAGTTTGGTGGGGGTAGTTGCAGAGGGTCGGGACTAGGCCTGGTTCCTCCCGGCCCCTCACTGGATCTGCGCTTCAGTGCCTCCCAACAGCAATGACTGGGGGCCCACTGCGGGATCATTCCCAAACAGCCCCCTGCTCCTTTTCTGACCCTGCCTGGAGGGTGGAGAGACTGTCAGAGGAGCACGTGGGGGCCTGGGCAGCCTCTTGCTCTCCCAGTGCTCTCACCGTGGAGCAGCCAAGACTGCCCTTCAGGTACCAGCTGCCCCTTCACAGACACATTTCCAGCCTGGATCAGCACCTCCTCGGGTCCCATAGTCACCTGGACCTTGAGGAGATGCAGAGTGGAAAAGGGGGCTGGGGCTCTCTTCCTCCCCTGTCCAGCCTCCTCCCTGTGGCTGCCCCATCTCCCTCCCTCACCCGCTGACAGTGTCCAGGCTGGGGGCAGCGGTCCCCGGGTGTTAGGTGGACAGCCCAGGTGGAGTCCGCAGCACCCGCCAGCAGGTAGGTGCAGCGGCCCAGGAAGTGATAGTGGCGGCCATCAAAGGTGCGGTAGTGGAAGCCCGACCAGGAGGCACAGGTGGCCGAGGGACGCTGGTGCTGGCTCCAGAGCTGGCCCACAGCCCCTGCCAGGGGCTGCAGGAGGGCTGGAGAAGAGGCACTGCCTGGGAGAGACACACCAACTGTGAGCCTCTGAGTGTGAGGCAGAGGTGAAGGGTGAGGACACAGGGCTCCCGGCACAGCGGGAGGCAGGCAGACAGGACATGGTCACTCTAGTGGGCCAGGGAGCCAGTATGGGCCCTGTAGAAGGGCCCAGAGCACAAGAACTCCACATGGGAGTGCCTGGGGAGGCGGAAGGGGTGATGGCCAGGACTGTGCCTGTCTGGCAGGCTGGAGTCTGTGGACCCACCTGGCAGGTGTCGGCTGGAGCAGCTGCGGCAGGCCTGGGAGCTGCCATCCCACCAGCTTTGTCCCCAGGGCCGGGCGCAGCACTCCTCCAGGCTTCCTGCTGAGGCATTAGCTGAGCCTGCCTGTAGCTGGCACTGCCACATGGCAAAGCAGTGGCCTTCAGGACTGGCTTTGGCAAGGGCTGCGGTAGGTGGGGAGGATGGGGCAGACCCAGGCAGTGAATATGGGGTAGCCTGGAGCTCTCAGCCCAGCCCTGGTTCTCTGCCTGAAACCACAGATCTGAGCTAGCATCCCCTGCCCAGGACTCCCAGAAGGTACCGCGTCCCCAAACGCACTCAGGTGCTTACCCTCAGTGCAGTGGGCGCCCCCCCAGCCTGGGCAACAAGTCCTCACTGTCCGGTTCCACTTGGCAGGCCGGGTTTCTGGAGGTCTGCACCCACCAAGCAGGTGGAAACGGGGAGGAGATGTTAGCGTTCAGCCCAGTCCCACCCTGGGGAGGCCTGGGGACATTCAGTTTTGTCAGCTACTCTAATCACATCATTTCCCCGGCCTTAATTTCCCCACATACAAAGTGAGAATAATGTTGGGAGGGCAGACCACGGGGATTGGGAGCGGGGGTTGGGTAGAAGGAGCAGGCTTCGGGCCTCTCCCTGTCCTGCCCACCGTAGCGCGCACTCACCCCCCACCCTAATCTCACACGCTCCACCCTTCTCCAGGCCCACTGCAAACCTACTTCCCAAATGCCTGCTTCCTCCAGAGCCTCCCCACTCTCAGGATGTCCGGCCTGTCACTCCTTTCCTGCCTGGCAGACAGCCCAGGCTCTCACCCTTACTCACTTGTAGATAGGACAGAGCCCAGGCGCTGGGGACCGGGTAAGCCCCGAGCGGCCACTCCAGGGCAGGTCCAGCCGCCAGCCCAGGCGGCTGTAATGGTCGAGGCTGGCACAGGGTACCAGGTCCTCCTGACGGGGTGCCACTTCCTCCTCCACACGGATGGTCTCTGTCCACTCACACCACCGCCTGCCCATGATGGGGAACCACAGCTGCTGCCACCATTCCCTCTGTCACCAAAAGCCCTGTCCTATGACACCACTCCCAGGGGTGGTTATTGAAGTAAGGAGGATGCTAAGGTAGGGAGAGACACTCATGGGAAGTGGCGGGGGTGGAGGGAGGATCCCGGGGGTGGGGGGCACGGAGTCTGATGCCCCAGAGGGTCCCTGGGCATGCGGCAGAAGGAGGACCCTTGTCAGAGGGGTCCAGGGTGGGCTGCTTACCCGTCAGCCAGGGCCCACGCCATCCCAAAGAGGAGGGCAGGGAGTAGCATGGTGCCCTCACCCCCAGGGCACCTTTGGGGAACGTGAGGCTTGGGCTCAAGAGAGGCAATGCTGCAGAGAGGGCAGAGAGGCCAGCGGTGCTCTCTCCTGCCCCACGCAGCCTCCCCGCAGCCCAGTGGCCAGTTCTGGGGGCTGTGGGGGGCTTTATTCCAGTCTCATGCCCCAGGGCACCAGCTGCCCACAACCGGATTGGACCTGCCACACCAGCCCCTCAGAGGCCAGCTCTCCCTGGAAACAGTCTCCTTCCTGTCCCCTTCCAGTGCATCTGTTTCCCTTTGTGTGTGTGTGTGTGTGTGTGTGTGTGTGTGTGTGTGTGTGTGTGTATTTTCACACTCTCAGGCACTACCACAAATTAACATGGGGCTCTGGGCAAGCCACCCTCCATTTCTGGGCCTCAATTTCCTTCCCAGTAAAAATTTCAGGGACTTCCCAGGGATGCACAAATAGGTCTCAGACTCCAGTAATTCTTTGAAATTGTATGTGCACATTTTTCTGAAGACAGTTCTATACTTTTATTAGATTCTCAAGAGGGCCATGACCCCATGAAAAGGTTAAGAGCTCCTGGGCTAAACGACTGATGGGGTCTTCCAGCCTTGAACTTCTGCCTGGATGATGCTCCCCTGCCTCCCGCCCCTCTCTTGCCCAAACTGAGGAGTCGGGGGCAGTGAGTGGGAGCACTTCTAGGGTAGCTGGGGTTCCTGAGTGTGTGGAGATGCGTGGGCAACATGTACCCTTTTCTCCAGGGTCCAGTTTCTTGCTGGGGATGATTATGTGTGGCTGGTTGGGCCCACCCTGTCTCCTTCTTCGAGGGTCTCCTAGAGTCTCTGGGGTCTAGAACTGGGGAGCCTATGCTGAGGAATGAGAGGACCCTCTGGAAGGAGTGGGCGGGGGAGCCAGCTCCCCCAGCCCTGGGGCAGAGCTAAGCCGGATGAAATAATCCGAGAATCCGGCTGGGAGGGGCAGTGACAGGCTCCACAGGGGAATCCGGGGTCCACCCTGGTCCCAGCAGAGCTCTGAGCACACCCGGACACCCGGGCTGGAATGCAGCCTGGCTCCGACTCCACACCCCTCGGTCTCCTAAACCTGATATCCCTCCGAGTATCCTGTAGAGTCATTCCACCTAGGGGAGGAAGGGGGCTGCTGTTAACCAGAGCTGGGCCGGGCTCTCCTTCTCCTGGGTTCACCATTGGTCCCAGGGCCAAAAAAGGGCCCAGAGTGAGTCTCTCAGGGGGTCACGGATGACTGGGATCAACTCCTGCTCTGGAGTCCTCAGAAAGAGCCACACGCACACCCAGACACCCCCCTTTCCTGTTTTACACACATGCACACTCTCACTGTAAGTCTCACAACACCGGCACAGGTGCTCGGCCACACCCCAGCACGCACAGTGACACATGCTACTCCAGGTGCTCCCTTCATCCTGGAGGCAGAGGAGCCTTCACAGCTGAGCCCGAGTGATGGGCGCTCTTCCAGGCACTCATCCTTGTGGTGGGCTGTGGTAGCAGGAGCTCAAGGGCCATTCACACCCTCCCCTTCCCAGCCTCACTCAGCTCTGGATTCAAACCGGGGCTGATCAGGCAGCACTGGGATTGGGAAGAGACCCGAGTTGCAGTCACCCTTTCCCGTAAAGGGGCAGAAGGGAGGAAGCTGGAACCCAGGGGTTTGGAGAAAGTTCATGGAGAGGAGACCGGGAACTAACAGTCCAGACTTCAGCATCTCCGGAGCTTTCAGGAGTGGGCGCAGCGGGAACAAGGCCAAGGAGAAACCTCGTAACCTGGGCAGGGAGGGCGAGTGGAGTCCCCTGAGGAGCTGGGGCTGAGGGCTGAGGGCTGAGGGCTGCCCTCCACATCTAACTCCAGGTGGTGTCCGGGCCAGCAGGCCCCCCAGCAATCGTCTCCCGCCCATAGAGCCCTCCCCTCTCTGCAGCCCCCTCCCAGACCCTCCCCCGGACCCCGCCCTCAGAATCTCCGCCCAGCCCCGTCCCAGCCTTGCCCCCTGGAGCTCCCGACCTGGCCCGGCCTTCTCCCAGGGGACCTGGCTTAAAGTCCTCTCCCCAGTTTCTACTTCGAAGGACCCGTTCTCGCAAGCACAGGGGCCCAGCCCTCTCTCCCGCCTGCCCCCACGGCTCCCGCGGCTGGTTTCGAATCGGGTCCTCGGGACTCCAGGCGAGGGGCTGCGGGTCTGGGTGGATCGGGGTGGAATCCGGGTGGAGAATGGGGGCGGGGCCGGAGTTTCCCAGACCGACCCCCCGGGCCGTCCTCCCGCGGGAGCGCGGCGCTGCACACCCGGCTGGCACCGGCGACTTAGAGACGGCAGCGCACGACTCGCTGGCTCCCCCCCGACACGGCCCCTCCTCGTTCCCCCAACTCCTCCCCGCCACCCCCCCACCCGTTCGCGCTCCACCTTTCCCCGGCTCCTCCCTCCGCGGCCGCGAGCACCCTCCCTTGGCACCCTTCCCCGCAGCCCGAGTGCCTGTCCTCCCCAGCCTCCTCGCCCTCCTCCACCCCCTCTCCCATCACCCTCCCCTCCCCTCCCCTCCCCTCCCCCGTCCTGAGCTCCCACTTCCA
Source organism: Homo sapiens (assembly GCF_000001405.40). Lineage (NCBI taxonomy): Eukaryota > Metazoa > Chordata > Mammalia > Primates > Hominidae > Homo > Homo sapiens. The sequence continues at coordinate 149,773,464 of NC_000007.14, read as the reverse complement.
CACCTACTCCAGGCTCGGAGCCTTAGGACCATCACCTGCCCACCTAAGCCCACGGTGCTCCCTCCTGGGACCCCACTCCTGAAACCCCCTGCCCCTGCCTCCCCCAGCCCGGTGCGCCGGGGCTCTCCGCCCGCTCCCTCGGTCCCTCCTCCCTTGCAGGCGCCGTTTCCCGGCTTCGACTCCCCGCGCGTCTATCCCTCTCCTCCCCGCGAAGTTTCGGGGCTGTCAGTCTGTCAGTCTTTCAGGCCGTCAGCACCCGAGCTGCAGGCGGCGAGCGCCATTGTGAGCAGAGCCGGCGGGGCAGGAGGCCCGGGCGCCTGGGTCCCCGCGGCGCGGGCGGAGCGGCCGGCCAGCCAGGTAAGGGCCGGGGAGGCTCCTCTGCAGGCGGCCCCGCCCGCGTCTCCCTCAGCGCCGCGGTTGGGTCACGGCCGGCTCCGCGCAGGTGACAGCCCCGGGGGTAGGGGCGCGGACGGCGGGCGTGGGGGAGGGGCGCGGGTCCGGGGAGGTCGGGGGCTGGGGGGAAGGGAGGGCAAGGCCGGCGCGGGCAGGGTGAGGGCTGTGGGGGTAGAGGAGACCGGGGGGGCTGGAGGGAAGGGCGGGGGCTGGGAGGGGGTCGGGCGGGAGGCAGGTGGGAAGGGGGACGACGGGCCCCGAGGGGAGGAGAGAGGGAGTGTGGGAGGGGGCCGAGGGGGAAGGGGAGGAAGAAGCGGGCGCTGGGGACCGGGCCACTCGGTAGGGGCGGGAGAGGAGGGCGCTGACAGGTGAGCCCCGGAGCTGGGGAGGGGGCCGGGACCTGGAATGAAGTCGGCGATCGGAGCTGCTTGGGAGGGCGGCGGGGCAGGGAGGTGGAGCTGAGGGTCCCGTCGGGAGGAAAACTTGGGAGGGGTGAGAAGTCCGAGGGGAGCAGAAATAGGGAGGGGGCGCCGCGGCGGAGAAGAGAGGCGCGGAGGGGTGTTCGGAGGGGAGACGGAGTGGGGAGGGCAGGGCCCGCGGGAAGGTCCCGAGAGAGCGGGTCAGCCCTAGACCCCCAGGCTTGGGGGCCGGAGGACCCGGGAGCTGGGAAGCAGCCTGGGAGGGGGGAGGGGAAGAGCGGTTCTGGGGACTGGGGACGGGGAGGGAAGCGAAGCTGGAGCCTGCTGGGGAGACAGAGGGGGAAGGGAGGCGGGGGCCTCGGAGGGGAAGGAGAGCTGCAGAAGGGAGGGGGGAGGGGGAGGGCGGTGGGGAGACGTGGGGGAGGGCTGGAAAGGGGGAGGGGAAGGGAACCGAGGTGAGGCGAGGAAAGGAGAAGGAAGGGAAACCGGGGTGGGGGAGGAGAGGAGGGAGGGGAGAGGAGAACTGGGTTGGGGAAAAGAGCTGAGAGGAGGAGGGCGGGGGTTGGCGAGGAAGGAAAAGAGGAGGGGGAAAGGAAGGGAGAGGGTGTGCAGCCGGGGAGGGAGATGGAGCGGGGGAGAACCGGGAGGGTAGGGAAAGGCAGCCTGGAGTCTGAGAGGGGGAGGGGAGCGCTGCCGCCGAGGCGGCCCGGAGCGTAGGGTCAGGGGAGGCGGTGGCAGCGGAGGGCCGACCCGGACGGGGCCTCGAGGGGTTGGCCCTGCCGGGCTCGGGCGGGCGGAGCCTGAGGGGCGGGGCCGGGGGCGGAGCCGAGGCGCCGGCCCGATTCGCAGGGGAGAGAGGGCGGAAGGCAGAGGGAGCGGGAGGGGCGGGGCAGAGGGAAGGCTGCCGGGGAGATGGGGGAGGGGAGTCTGCTGGGGGAGGGGCGGGGGAGCCGCGGAAGGCGGAGCAGGGAAGGGGCAGCAGGGGCGGTGTCCGGGCCTTGGGCAGCCCGGCACGGGTGAGAGGTGGTTTTGTGGTAGGGGTTTAGGAAGAGGCGATCATTTTCTAGCTACAAGAGGATCCTCTCGAGGACCTCCCCAAGCAGTACCCCTAAAGTGACACTCACTCCCGCCCCTGGGCTGGCTCCTATTTCACCAGCTCGGGCAGTGACAGCTGGAGGACCTGGGAGATGAAGTTTCCCACTCCCCACCCTGGGCTCCCACCCTCAAGCCTCTCCCCAGAGAATCGAATCTTGCCTGCACTTTCCCAGGCAAGGACGCTGGGGCGTGGAGTTGCGGTGCTGATGGGCCGGGGTTGGCGGTGACAGACCTGCCAGGTGAGGGGGTGGCGCGGCTGGTTTCCAGAGCTGACAGAAATCGTTTCAAGGCCTTCTTGGGCCACCTTCAAAGATCTCTTGGCTTGGCTTTCTAAACCCAGTTTCCCAAATTTCCCCCAGCTGTACCTGGGGATGTCACCTTTGGAGCTCCTGGAAGAGCCCATAGGGAGAGGTTGGGCAGAGCCAGGGCCCAGGTGGAAGCTGGCGTGGGAAAAATCTGAACAAGGCTGTCTTTTCTCCATAGGTTCTGTGGCCTGATCCCCAGGAGGAGCTACTCTGGGTTACCATGAGAGAGACCTTGGAGGCCCTCAGCTCCCTGGGTGAGCTGGCAGAAATGAAGGGACTTGGGGAAAAGCTTAGGAGGATTCAGGGGCATCTACAACTCAGACAGCAGAGCCACCCTCAGGAGGCTGCAACCCTGAGGCCCCAGGGGCCTGTAGGTCAGCCTCCTTTTCTGTAGCACGGGGTGTCTGAATGCCTGGAACATGGTGGAGGCTGCGCTCTAGACCATATGTGCACTTGAGCACTCACAGAGCACAGTCATATTTACATCTATGCCATCTCTTCCTTCTGTCCTTTTTGACTCAACTCAAAGGGACTGAGGTTGATACCTGTCCCTGTCCATGTGGTGAGAGACCCTGTCCTTCCTGAGCAGGTTGGGAAAAGTCTCTTGGGCAGGCTGGGAAGGGGAACAGCCCCCGCCTCTGATTACTTGTTCTGTACTGGATGCTTTACTTGGACCCATCCTTCTGCCTGTAACAGGATTCTCTGTGGGACAGCCAGAGATGGCCCCCCAAAGTGAGCCCAGGGAAGGATCCCATAATGCCCAGGAGCAGATGTCCTCTTCTAGGGAAGAGAGAGCACTGGGGGTGTGCTCAGGTAGGTAACAGGAACCCTGGAAAGGCTCAGGGAGGAGTCCCCCTGCTTTCCTCCTGCCCTCCCTACCTCTCTCCCTTCTTCCCTCCCCCCTCCCTCCCTCCCTTCCTTCTTTCCTTCCTTCCTTCCATTCATCAAATATTTATTGAGCACCTATTATGTGTGGGATGCTATTCTAAACATTTGGAATACCTCAGTGACCAAATAGTCAAAGATCCCTACCTTCAAGAGCTTAATCCTAATGAGTGCAGAGAGTCAGCAAACAATAAATAAGGAAATTTCTAAACTATGTTCAAAGGTGATAAGAGCTCTGGGGGAGAGGATAATGTCCAGTGAAGCAGGTTGAAGGGGGCCGAGACAGCTGCAGGTGGGGGTGGGTGGGGCATGTTATAGGATTAAATAGGGTGAGGAGACTGGGTTTCTTTGGGAAGGTAAGATTTGTGCAGGATTTGAAGGAGCTTGGGGAAGCCGGGCATGGTGGCTTATGCCTGTATTCTCAGCCCTTTGGGAGGCCAAGGTGGAAGGATTGCTTGAGCCCCATTCGAGACCAGCCTAGGCAACATGGCAAGACCCTGTCTCCACAAAAAATTAAAAGTTAGCTGGATGTGGTGGCTCATGCCTGTGTTCCCAGCTACTTGGGAGGCTGGGGCAGGAGGATCCCTTGAAGCCCAGGCTGCAGTGAGGTATGATCGTGCCACTGCACTCCAGCCTGGGTGACAGAGAGGACCTTTCTCTAAAAAAAGAAAAATAAAAGAGGTGAAGGCGGCAGCTCAGCAGATTTGGGAAAAGTGCTTCAGGCAGGAGTACAGCCAGGACAGAGCACTAAGGCAGGAATGTGCCTGGCTTTTGACATCCTGATTCTCCCCAGTGATTTGCTTGGAACCAGGGTCCATCTGGGGGCTGGGAAGTCCCCAGCCCTTCTCCTAGGGGCATCAGGTCAGGGGACTTCCTTGCTTCCACTGTCTTACATACACATATTCCAGGAACTCTTCACAGTGGTGGCTCTTGTAACCTTGTAGTCCATCTCATTACATACCCTTAGCAGCCGCCCTGCTTGAAGGAGTCTGAGGCAGCCCCAGGGAAGCTGGGAACTCAGCCCCTTAATTCAGGTAGGATGTGGGAGGAACCCTGTGGGCCCTGCTGGAGCCAGGGTTTCAAATGCTCCTGCTTCCCAGCACCAGTGGGGCCCTTTGGCCATCTGTGATGTCTCCAGAGTCCTTGAGGTATCCTATTCTCTGCCAGGGCACGAGGCCCCTACACCGGAGGAAGGTGCCCACACAGAACAAGCCGAGGCTCCCTGCAGAGGCCAGGCGTGCTCAGCACAGAAGGCTCAGCCTGTGGGTACCTGCCCAGGTGAGTCTTCCCATCACTTCATCCCACCACGGGCTCAGGCCAAGGGAACGGGGCCCAGCAAGCTCCGGAGCTGCTATCTCATGAGGCAGGTAATCCCCCAAGACAGGCAGTCCAGGCCCTTCTAACCCAAGTTGAGTTCAGGCCCTGGCACCTTTCTGCTGTGGAGCTTCAATGCCGAAAGGGAATTTCACATCTGTAGATGGCAGGAGTCAGAGAGGCTGGTCACCAAAGAGAAACACAGCCTCCCCTCAAATGCCTTCTAGAAATCCTACCTCCCCCTCTTTATTTCTCCCAGTCTAAGTCTAATTACAGTTGCCATGAAGATACATGGCTTTGATCAACATTTTCACTGCCTCTCCCCTGACATGCCGCCTTCCCCAGCTTCCACTGATCGTGAGGGTACCCAGATGCTCCACATCTGCTGTATTCAACTCATCTCCTCATACCCAGGGTGATCAAACTGCTCACTCTCTCTCAACAATCCCACCATGACTTCCTTCCACTGCCACCATCCTTACTACCTTTTGCCTGAGGGATATCATTTATTCAGCAAGGATTTATTGAGTGCCGACTACATACAGGCTGTGTTAAGTACAGTGGAAAGAGATGAACTGTAGAGTTACCTGGACCTGGTTTGAATCTTTGTTCTGCATTTACTAGCTGAGTGCCCTTGGATAGGCCACCTTGCCTCCAGGAGCTTCGGTTTGTGAAGGTTTGTGACAGTGTGTGTACAACACTTCATCTACAGTTGGTCCTCGAGAAGTGGCAGCAGTCCCCATTTTTATCAGACACATAAAGACACCTTTCTTATTAGACACAAAAGAAATGGAACACAAAATGTCCATACCTCAGAAGAGAAAATCTGGTTGAGATGACCTTAATATGAGCTAGAACAAAGAATTAAAAGAACAGTATAAAGGCAAGTCACAAATAAGCACAAAAGTGTTAACAGTAAGTGCTATAGGAGTTTATGCCAAAAGATCCGCATGCACTGGGAATTTGTCAAAAAACATTAATTTGTGCTGCATTTTAAGAAAGGTGTAGACTTCAGTTCTGAAAGGGGTGGGGTGGAGGATGGGAAGACGTTCTAGGCTGAGAAGATCTTGAAGCAGGAAAGGGGAGGAGAGCAGCTTGGCTGAAGTGGAAGGTCCATGCCTGGGAGAAAGAAAGTTGGACTAGGGTGGGGTGAGCCTCAGATGCAGCTAGAACCTGTTTTATCTTCAAATAATAGGGTGCTGGGCTGGGCACTGTGGCTCATGCCTGTAATCCCAGCGACTCAGGAAGCTGGGGTGGGAGAACTGCTTGAGGCCAGGATTTCAAGACCAGCCTGGGCAACACAGCGAGACCCCATCTCTGAAAAAGTAAGAAATATTAGCTGGGCATGTTGGTGCACACCCATAGTCACAGCTGCTTGGGAGGCTGAGGTAAGAGGATCACTTGGGCCCAGGTGTTTGAGGCTGCAATGAGTCATTATCGTCCCATTGCACTCCAGCCTGGGAGACAGAGCAAGACCCTGACTCAATTAAAAATAAATAAATAGGAGCTATTGATGGTTCTTGAGTAGAAAAGTAAAGAGTGCCACAATGAAGGTGAAAGCAGTATCACAGTGTGATAAGTAGACAGGGGTCTGGAATCAATGGACTGATAGAAGAAACTGGGAGTACCTCTGATTGTGGAAGTCCACGTGTGATGGAATCAAGGCTCAGGCCAGACAGGAACCCAAATTATCTGCTTAAATGATTCACAAATGAGAATCACTTTGGGAGCTTTAAAGATGAGAACACGTTCGTGGGCCTTGCCCCCATTTGTGCATTTTCTCAACGTTTCCCAGGAGCTGATGATGCAGCACAGGCGTGGGAGCTTTAAACTAGTCCAACTCTTACACAAAGGGCAAATTTTCTTAGCGGACTAAGAAATGTAACTCAAAGAGGTTAAGTGACTGAACCAAAGTCACACTCCTAGTTAGTGACAGAGGAGAACCTAAGTTGGACCCTCCCGTCTGGACCCCGGGCTCCTTCCTCTAGGCTGGACCATTGCAGCACCCGACAGGGGCAACACTCCAGCGGAATCCCCTGCAACCTGCCCTTAGGCTGAGGCTTCCCTAGAGGGCCTTCCCTGTTTCTCCAGAGCCAGTGTTCACTAGTTCCCCAGACCCTGTAAACTCCATCGTGGTCTTCCTAAATGGGACTTCTCCTCAGGCTGTCCAGCAGGAAAGAAGGGAGTAGCAGGAATACGTGGGTACCCTGGTTCCGTGGCCACTAGAGGTAAGGTGGGCTGGGGGTAGGGGTTAGAGAGCAAGAGAAGCAGCCCAGGTGAGATGTCAAAGATCAAGTTTTCAAGGCCACCAGGGAAGGAGGCTCTAGTCCTAAGGTTAAAGTCAGCCAGGGCTCAGTTTGGGAAGCTCAGGTGTGTGGTGAGAAAGCTGCTGAGCTGCGGCCAGTTTGCAGTACCAAGGAGAGCTGCTGGACCAGAGATGGAGACTGAGGTCCCAGAAAGGCACTGCTGGAGCAGGAAGATCTGGGCCAGCCACCAAAGGGATGTGAACCTGGAGCGAAGCAGGAGGACTGAAACTTGGGCAACCTTCCTCTTCAGGGGTGCTGGAGGGCTCCTGGGCACATCCAGGCCGGGGAAGAAGCCCCCGGGAGCCGTGTGGTGTTCACACGCATCACAGGTTCAGGAGAATGCAGGAGGGGGCCTGAGAAGAGCTGCGGATTTGGTCACTCCCGGGAAGCGTTAGGTAGAGTGGAGAGCAGAGCCAGACCGCGGGGCTCCAGGAAGTGGAGATCCTGTGGTTAAATAGACGTTGCCGCACGTGGAGCTCAATAGACAATTCTTGTTTTGACTTTCCAGGAGAGGAGTGGATGATTCGGAAGGTGAAGGTGGAGGACGAAGATCAGGAGGCAGAAGAGGAGGTCGAATGGCCCCAGCATCTATCGTTACTTCCCAGCCCCTTTCCCGCGCCTGACCTGGGGCATCTGGCTGCCGCGTACAAACTGGAGCCAGGGGCCCCGGGGGCACTGAGTGGGCTCGCGCTGTCTGGGTGGGGTCCGATGCCGGAGAAGCCCTACGGCTGCGGGGAGTGTGAGCGGCGCTTCCGGGACCAGCTGACGTTGCGACTGCACCAGCGGCTGCACCGGGGCGAGGGCCCCTGCGCCTGCCCGGACTGCGGCCGCAGCTTCACGCAGCGCGCCCACATGCTACTGCATCAGCGCAGCCACCGCGGCGAGCGGCCTTTCCCGTGCTCCGAGTGCGACAAGCGCTTCAGCAAGAAGGCCCATCTGACCCGCCACCTGCGCACGCACACGGGCGAGCGGCCCTACCCGTGCGCGGAGTGCGGCAAGCGCTTCAGCCAGAAGATCCACCTGGGCTCGCACCAAAAGACCCACACCGGCGAGCGGCCCTTCCCCTGCACGGAATGCGAGAAGCGCTTTCGCAAGAAGACGCACTTGATTCGGCACCAGCGCATCCATACGGGCGAGAGGCCCTACCAGTGCGCACAGTGCGCACGCAGCTTCACGCACAAGCAGCACTTGGTGCGGCACCAAAGGGTGCACCAGACGGCCGGCCCGGCCAGGCCCTCTCCCGACTCGTCCGCTTCTCCTCATTCCACTGCCCCGTCCCCGACCCCATCCTTTCCCGGGCCAAAGCCTTTCGCGTGCTCCGACTGCGGCTTGAGCTTCGGCTGGAAAAAGAACCTCGCCACGCACCAGTGTCTGCACCGCAGCGAGGGTCGCCCCTTTGGGTGCGATGAGTGCGCACTGGGCGCCACCGTGGATGCCCCCGCCGCCAAGCCCCTGGCCAGCGCGCCTGGCGGACCGGGCTGCGGCCCAGGATCCGATCCCGTGGTGCCCCAGCGCGCCCCCTCGGGCGAGCGGTCCTTCTTCTGCCCGGACTGCGGGCGCGGCTTCTCCCATGGGCAGCACCTGGCGCGGCACCCGCGCGTGCACACGGGCGAACGGCCCTTCGCCTGCACGCAGTGTGACCGCCGCTTCGGCTCGCGGCCTAATCTGGTCGCCCACTCCAGGGCCCACAGCGGCGCCAGGCCTTTCGCCTGCGCTCAGTGCGGCCGCCGCTTCAGCCGCAAGTCGCACCTGGGCCGCCACCAGGCGGTGCACACTGGCAGCCGCCCCCACGCCTGCGCCGTCTGCGCCCGCAGCTTCAGCTCCAAAACCAACCTAGTCCGCCACCAGGCGATCCACACAGGCTCCCGCCCCTTCTCCTGCCCGCAGTGCGGAAAGAGCTTCAGCCGCAAGACCCACCTGGTGCGGCACCAGCTCATTCACGGCGAAGCCGCCCACGCGGCCCCGGACGCCGCCCTTGCGGCCCCAGCCTGGTCCGCTCCCCCCGAGGTGGCGCCGCCCCCGCTCTTCTTCTGAGCCTAGTTCTCACGAGGACCCTTTCTTGCCCACAGTTTCGAGAGGCCCGTGCCATGAGACCGCCTGGGGTGAGCAAGGCGACCTGGGCTGCTGCCCGAAGGTTTGGCCGCCGCGGGACACCTGTTTCCTTCCCGCAGTGTCTGCGTCCGCACAGCATACCCAGCTCGGACCTCCTAGGACAGAGACTCAGCGAACCCTTGCTGGGAACCGCTGAGCTGAAGTTCTTGGAAGGCTCCCACCCAGGTGCCCCGTTGGAAAGCAGATATTTCCCGGACCCAGCGCGGCCTCAACCAGGGCAGGAAAGAGTGGTTATTTATGTACTTAAAGTTTCATTAAAGTTAAAATCGGAAAGTTCTGGGGCTGCTAAATGAATTGGGGGAGGGAACACCTGACTCTCCTTAGCCACTGTCCCACCTCCATCCACACACAGACCACCCCCCTCCACTTCCCCTTCTGTCCTGGGTGAGTTACATTTAGCCAGCTGCTGTTAATTGGTTCTCCCAAATAAAAATGTAATATATTTATTCACTAAGCCACCATCCTGGCTCCTGCTTCTAGCTCGGAAGTATAAGGAAGGAAGATTGGGGTGCATTTCTCTCACGCCACGTGTCACCGACTAGAGCTGAAGGGGGGCAGGCCGTCCTTTGGCGTGGGCTTGGGAGCTCTGTGTGGTCTCCGCAACTCTCCTGGGGGATTCGGAGCTCGGTGGCGTGAGGAAGGAGGTGGCACATCCACTGCAGATGAAGGTTGCTTTCACATCGCACTTGCAACAAGTCCTTTCTTAAGGCTGCTGGGTCCAGAAGTCTCTGTATTGCCCTTCTCCAGCCCACGCAGGTATGAGAGCTAGGGCTGCCTGGCCGTGAACGGGGAGGGTAGGACGATGGGGAGCCTATGGAGCTTGCAGTGAGTAGTCTTGGGTTTGACCCCCCTCTGCCTCTCGTGGGACTTGGAGCGCAGCATTATTCATTTCCCAGTGAGCGGGGATGAGAGGCCAGAGCAGTGGCCTGAGAGATGAAGGGGTCTTTCACACCTGTGAAGCAGTTTAGACCGTGTCCAAGGGAGGGGGAACCATGGCAAGGTTAGGCGGGGCAGGAACAGGGCCACGCTCACATTCCTGAAGTTTGGAAAGATGTTTGGCTAGACAACTCGGGAGCGAAATTGGAGGCCTGCGCATCAGTTGTCCTGGTGACAGGTTGTGGTGACCTGGGACCATAGTTGTGTCAGAGGAGACAGAGAAGTGATGGATTCAAGAGACACTTAATAGGCAGAGGATACAGGACCTGTTGACTAGTGTGGGTCGGGGAATCAATGAGCTCAGCCCGATTTCTGTTTGACACTGACTGGATGACAGTGGCATACTCCCAGAAGGGAGACTCGGTGTTGGGGGCAGCTTTGTGCTGGGGGAGTAGTCCTGGGTCTCCTGAGTTGTGAGCAGTGTGTGCCCAGCAGGAAGGAGGCTGTGTGGGTGGAGAGCTCAGGAGAGGGCCAGGCTGCAGACATACAGCTGAGAACTATCCGCATGTGCTTCTGAAGCTATGGGGGAGCGGATGATCTTCCCAAAGAACTGAGTGTGGAGTGAGAAATTGGGGGCCTGGGACAGAAGCCTCTGGGACACCAACATTAGGGGATGGCACCGAGAGAGGCCTGTAAACAAGATTGGAGAGTGCAGGTGCAAGGACTGGACAGGAAAGCCCCAGGTAGAGGTGATAGAGGAGCCGAGGAAAGACGCGCTTCAGGGAGGAGGAGGCCGCTGGAGGCTAGAGAGAGGTCACCTAGGCGAAGGGCTTCCAAACCCTTTGGATGTCGCTGCAAGCAAATCCAGTCTCGGTGACAGCAGCATCAGGAGCAGCTGGGTCAGAATTCAGATCACAATGGTGAACTACAAAAGCAAAATCCCAGAGAAGGTAGGAGACAATGAGACCTGGACACAGGTGAGGGAGGGGCGTTGGCTGGGAGGCCTGTCAGAGGATGCATGAATGCAGGCGTGTTTATAAGTTTCGTGGCCAAGAATGAGTTGGTGACTCCAGGTTATTTTAAATATCTTGAAATGTCACATAAAAATCTGGACTTCCATCTTCTGTTGTGAAAAAAGCAAAAGGTTTGGCAACTGGTGGCTGGAGCTGAGTGGAAGTTGTCCTCTTTGGACTAAGGGATCGGAGTCCTCAGCACTCCCCCTCGTCTTAAAGCCCAACTGGGCTTCTCCAAGGTTCCCTACCCAGCCTCTTAGGCACAGAGCTTGTGATTCCAGCTAAAAAAAAAGTCATTTCACAGACTTTTAAAATCAAACACATAAAAACAATGTTTGTGTTGGTTAGACCAATGTTTTCCTTTCTTGAAACATTCTGGAATTCTCGTGTAAGAACAGCTTTTAGATCTTACAGCATATTTGGTGAGGCCTACCATGTGCCAGACGTTTTCAGGATTTCACATTATTTTAAAGATTCTCTACAAGGCATGCATATCTTTGTCCTTATTTTTTAGCTTGTTTGCAAATAGTCAAAATTTGTTTAGCATCCAGTCTGGCAATAGCCAACTCAGAAGACGTCTGCTCAACAAATGCACCGTGTGATGGAAGACTGAGGTTTCTGAAGGCTCTTCCCAAGGAAGAGTTCTAGACTCAGAAAGTGGTGGCCTCACTAAAATCAATACCTACCATCACCACCCCTATGTCACCCCAGGTCTGAGCCACCCCAGGTACAACTACCTTGATAAGGCACCAAATTGTTGACTTTAGAACCACATCCTGGTGTGTGAAAATGCTCAGAGAAGTAAAGCACTCATTTCCTAGTTCTATATCTAAAAGAGAAAGGTTTTATTAGTTAGCTAAAATTTATTTACTTCTCCCCAATCCTGTTCAAAAAAAGAGACTTACTGTATAACGGGTATTGAGTACCCAGTATGTGCCCAGAATGTCCCCAGTATGTGCCCAGAATGTGCCAGTCCCTGTGAGTAGCACAGAGATGTCTAGCATATGCCACCTGTCTGTAAGGAACCTGCAGTCTGACTGGAGATGAGACATCGATGTCCATGAAGCAGAGAATCTAAGTGCTAGGTGGCATTCTGTGGGCTCTAAAGACCTGAGGGGACAGAGAAAGCTGTGGAGAGGGGGTGGGGCTGAACATGGAGCTGCATAGACAGGATTTGTGGATCGCCCGGGGAGAAGGAGAGAGAAGGCCCCAACCTCCCCTTCTTGCAGCATATTTCTCCCTCGATTCTCTGTCCTCCCAACTCTTATCTACCCCTAGTCAGCAGCCCCTCCTCCTTCTCTAATCTCCATGGAGCCTGTGCTTCCCAATCTTTAAA